>NT_187633.1:152067-304135 GCF_000001405.40 Homo sapiens | reverse complement strand
AAGCTTAAAAAGAGGCCGGGCATGGTGGCTCACGCCTATAATCCCAGCACTTTTGGAGGCCGAGGCGGGCGGATCATGAGGTCAGGAGATCAAGACCATCCTGGCTAACACGGTGAAACTCCGTCTCTACTAAAAAATACAAAAAACTAGCAGGGTATGGTGAGAGGCGCCTGTAGTCCCAGCTACTAGGGAGGCTGAGGCAGGAGAATGGCGTGAACCCAGGCGGCGGAGCTTGCAGTGAGGCGAGATCGCACCACTGCACTCCAGCCTGGGCCACAGGCGAGACTCCATCTCAAAAAAAAAAAAAAAAAAAGCTTAAAAAGAAATAACCATTTTGATTATATATTTATCATCTGTAAGCAATGTGAGGATGGTAACCATTTATGTATTGTTCACCATAAATCCAAGAAACTCACTAAAAGGAGCTTTTAAAAAAAAAAAAGCTATTGAGGCCGGGCGCGGTGTCTGACGCCTGTAATCCCAACACTTTCAGAGGCCGAGGCGGGTGGATCACCTGAGGTCAGGAGTTTGAGAGCAGCCTGACCAATACGGTGAAACCCCGTCTCTACTAAAAATACAAAAATTAGCCAAGCATGGTGGCGGGTGTCTGTAGTCCCAGCTACTCGGGAGGCCGAGACAGGAGAACTGCTTGAACCCGGGAGGCGGAGATTGCAGTGAGCCGAGATCATGCCACTGCACTCCAGCCTGGGCGACAGACCAAGGCTCCGTCACACACACACACAAAAAAGCTATTGAATAATCATGAAAAAGAAAAATATCTATTCATTTCTGACTCCCAGCCCAGCAGCTGCATTTCCTCAGATAGCAGCACATTCACCAGGCTTATTAGTCTAAGCTAATAAGTTTCCAAACCCCTTAGAATATAGTTTCCATGGCCTCAGAACACGATAAAGAGTAGCACACCTTCAGACCTCAGCACCCTGATCCAGAGTGATAACTGGGGATGTTTCCTGGCCTGGAAGGTGGGAAGCCTATGTCTTAAGCTCAGTGGTGGCAGTGCCCTGGCTGTGTGACTGACTTGACATAGATGTCAGTCTCTCAGTCTGTTTCCCCTCATGTATGAGGCTTTGTACTAGATGAGGGTTCTGCAAGCTAACCAGCCCACCCTTTTTGTACAGCCCACGAGCAAAGAATGGTTTTTACATTTTTTCATATTTGGGAAAAAAAATCATGACACGTGAAAATTATATTAACAATATATAAAATTAAAACTTCGGTCCCTATAATTAAAATTTTATTGCGACGCAGCTAGTCTGTTATGTATTGTCTTTGGCTGTATCCACACTACATCGCTACAGTTAAGTAGACAGAGTATGGACCCCCCAAGCCTAAACTACTATTATGAATACTATTATACTCATTATACTTACAATATAACAATGTAAACACTGATATATTTACAACAAAAGTTTGCCGACCGCTGAACGAGACTGTTCTAAGCATATTCTATTTCTAACCACAATAATCACATAGAAAGAATCTTAGCCACATGGAATCCGACGGTCCCACACTTATAACCTGTAATAACCCAGGTCCTGAAGAGTTAAGTGACTCCCAAAGCCACTTGTGCAGATACCTTGGGAATGCCAGGTGAGTTCCATCTGGCCAGGGCCCGCCTCTTGCGGGGAGGCAGTGAAGCAGAACGGTCAAAATTTTCAGTCTGGAGTCGCGCTCACCCACTGGGTGACTTGGAGCAAATCATTTCACCTACCCGCGGCCTCAGTTTCCACCCCTGTAAATGGCACCAATAACAACACTCACCTCGCAGGGCTGCTGTGAAGGTGAAGCGAAAGGTCGCGAGTAAAGGGTTAGCGCGCTGGGCTTTGCACCCAGCAGACGCCAAATCAATGGTGGCTCCTGCGGTTACTGGGAACCTCCCCGGAGGCCGGAACCCATTCTAGGCACCTCAGGGCGGCGGCGAGAGCCATGAAGAGGCTCGCGAGGCAGCCAGGAAGCCCGGCCTCGGTTTCCCTGACTGGGGCTCTAAAGCTGCCCGCGAAACCCCCAGCTTCCTCACGTAACCCAGCCTCGCGCCTGCAGCCCCTCCGGCCTGTGCCCCGGGCTCTGCTGAGCCTCACCCCCACCCCGGCACCGCCTTCAAACCAGCCTTCCAGGAACTCACCAGGCGTCTCCACAGCAACGGCCAGTCTGTCCCGACCACCGCGCCGTCCGGCTGCGCGCCTGACAACAAGGCGTGCTCCCATTGGCTCCGGTGCCGGTTGTGCCAGCCAATCAGCGGGGGCGCACGCGCCGCTCGCTCTCCGCGGGCTGCTTAGCTGGGGCCCTGCAGACGGCTACCCTTGGGCGGCGCGCGCGCGCGTGCGCGCGTGTGTGCGCGTGTGTGCGCGCGTGCGCGTGTGCGTGTGCGTGTGCGTGTGTGTGTGTGTGTGTGTGTGTGTGTGTGTGTGTGTGTGTGTTGCGGGAGTGGAGCTTGTTGTTTCCGGATCCCCGTCGTCAGTCCTAGCGTGCTGGAGGCTTAGAGCACCAGCTCGTAGTCGGACTCTCTTCTCCACAGCTTGCACCCTGAGCAGTCACTAAATGATGGGCTGTGTGTTATTACCTGGGACATGTGCTCTGAAAACAGTGGAAACTTGGGGAACACTTAGAGCGGGGTGTCCAATCTTTTGGTTTCCCTGGGCCACGTTGGAAGAATTGTTTTGGGCCACACATAAAATACACTAACACTAAGGATAGCTGATAAGTTAATAAATAAATAAATAATAAAAATAAAAATCACCAAAAAATCTCAAAATGTTGTAAGAAAGTTTATGAATTTGTGTTGAGCCGCATTCAAAGCCAAGCAGACCAGCGCGTTGGAGAAACTTGACTTAGAGGGAACCAGGGAGGAGGAGCATCCTCATTCATTATATTACCTGTGCCTCTCTTTCCAAAAAGGATGTGAAGCCCAAAAGGAACAGATACAATAGGATATTGAAACAAAAGGAAAAAAAGGAACAAAACCTAGTAAATGAACAAGAAGAGGGGTCATGGGTGGTGTCAGAATTCCAGAGATGAAAAAAGGCGACAGAGTTGAAGGGGTTCTGTCAAGGGTCTTGGGCTGAAAGATGGTACTCTCTTGGGAGCTAGAATAACAATAAAGCATTGTAGGGAAGAACTTTACACTGTGGTTGAATTCATAGCTGCTTGAGTCTTGCACAGATGATTCAAATAGGAGTGAATGTTGGGGGCTTTTTAACCTCAAAGACAGTAACAGCATGGTGAAAAACTCAGTTCAGTACAATAAAGCTATACTGATAAGCTAGAAGTTCTGAAAATTGTTGAGTCACCAACCTTGACTTTGAGTATTGGGGTAAACAGTATTTGGGGGGTAAACAGAAGCATAAACAGATGGTTTCAAAGCTGCATGGATAACCTTCAGCCTCGGATACAGCTTCCACTCAAGCCTTATCATGAAAGATGCGCTGGAGAGAAACAGTTGAAAATAGGTGGGAAGGGTGGTCCAAGCAGCAAGAAAGTTGTGTGGGGAAGGTCCGGAGGTGAGAAACATGCAGATCATGCTGGAGTGTCATGCAGCACAGTGTTACCGTGAGGCAAAGCTCAGGGCCACAGTGGGGAGAGAGCACTCTGGAGAGTTAGGAAGAGGCCAGTCCAAACAAGCAAGCAGAAAACATATTGTTGCAGTCTTGCCCGTGCACCACAATGTACCAGTCTCTCATTGTGGGGTATCACCCAGAATTCTTTGTCTCACGACCAAGAAAATTAGGGAGTGTGGACACAAAGGGTAAGGTTGAAGCAAAAGTTTAATAAGCAAATGAAGAAAGCTCATTGCAGCTGGCGGGGGGCCCAAGCAGGTTGCCCATTATGAGGCTGGGTCAGGGGGTTTTATGGACTGGGAAAGGAAGGAATGTACTGACTGGTCTTGGAGAAAGCACTACTCAGCTTGGCCCCTGGACCTTGAGGGACCAATCAGGAGCTGAAGTGATAGCCTGGCCCAGGACCAATCAGAGGCTCACATTCTAAAGCACGTCCAAGAAAGGAAAGTGCCCACTGGAACCCACTGTAGCCCACCGTGTACATGTCCACAAAAGGAGAAGAGACTATTTCCTGGAAGCCCACTGGTTATACAAAGGACAAAGGCATTTCTATGCTGGGTCTTGTTCCCTTATCAAAGTAGCTGTGGGCATGCCTTAGGCACAAAGATCAAAGGTGTTTCTGTGTTGGGCATTGTTCCTTTATCTGAGTGAGCCAGAGGTTTGTGCAAGTTTCCTTATCTGTGCCTGAAGCCTGATTTTTCAGGCTGTTCCTCTGTTTAAAGGAGTTTTACCAAGGACCCACCTTAATTACCTAACTTTTCTCTCTCAATATCACTCTCACTACACTGAGGATGGCAGATTTAACATGGGGAATCTATATCAAAGACTGTGGCCTTATGGTCTTGGTGAGAGTTAGGCCTGAATCCCATCCATGGTGACCGCAACGATTCATTTATATCCAATGCAAGCATTCCCTGAGGCACTCTGGGAAGCAGGACACCATGAAACACACTGGCAGAGGAATGAGTGCAAAATACTTGGGTCAGGGGTCCAGGGGAAGGAACTCCAAGGTCTAGCTATCAATGAAAGTCCTTAGCAGTGGTTAGGTACAAACACACCAGGCACAGGCATATTCCATTAGAAATTGATTTTATTAACTACATAGACTGCACAGACTGAAAATCTGAATTTGGTGTTTCACTGGTACGCTAAAGATAAGGATCATCAAAGGTTTATGCAGGGAAACAGTGACCACCACGGTGTCCAAGGGTCATTAGAGGAAAATTCTGCATGGAACATGTGGAAAGCTACAGAAATGGAGACTCCCTATAGGCTCCCCCACACCACCCCTACATACTTTGACATTCAACAGACTGATAGGATATTTAGATAAGAGGGTGGGGACCTCATTCATTCAGTTTCAATGCAGTTTCGGCGCTGACATTGCATTTCCAGGTTTGGCATTCTGGGACATGGGTTTTACAAGGTGCCTAGCTACAGAGAATTATCAGCAAGAGTTAACAGAGAAGATGAAGTTCTCTGCCCAGGAATGCCCAGAGAAAGTCCCTGAAGACAAATCTGCCCTGTGCTCTGGCCCACTACAGCAGACTATGGACAGGAAACAGCTCAGAACTAGTGGAGAAGGGCTGAGCAACTCCTGGAGGTCCAGAATTCTGGGGAGGGCAGGTGAGAGGAGCAGCAATGGGGCTTGAGCTCTTCCTGGACCTGACACACTATCCACTTTTGCAAGACAGAATGACATCCCTTTTGAGCTGTGGATGGTGGAGTTGGCTTGGGGTGAGCCAGGTGGCTGGGCTGGGCCCCATGGAGTGGGTGCCAAGGACCAGGCCCTACACTGAGCCTTCTCGCCTTTCTGCCCACCAAGGGAGCACCTGAAGCCTGAGTTCCTGAAGGTGAACCCCCTGGGGAAGGTGCCTGCCCTCAGAGATGGCGACTTCCTACTAGCAAAGAGGTAATGGTGACCTGGTGCCCACCCAGGGTCAGAGCCAGGATCTGCCTGGGTTCTGGGGCTCAGAGTTGTAGGGGGAGGCAGAGGCGAGAGGGGAGATCTTTCCTTGGCTTGGAGATCTTTCCAAATCACTGAGGCCCCTTCCTCATTTCAGCCTGTGTAGCTCCGATGCAGAGGCTGGACCCAGGGGCACCTTTGGGCTAAAGCTGGAGGCTGGAACCTGGCTAGAGTCTGAGCCAGCTGGAGCTGCCCAGGTGGGGAAAGGACGTAGGTCACCCGGATAAACCTGGACAACCTGAAGCCAGCGGGCAAGGCCCAGGCTTGAGGCTGGCTCCTCCCCAAATGTCCCCAGCTCATCCTTTCAGAGTCCTAGGAGCTGGGCAGACCCAGGGGAGACTCCACATTCAATCCCAGCTCACCACTTCCTCAATCCATGCCCTTGGGGAAATCACAGAACTTTGTGTGCCAGGTTTCTCCTCTGTAAAACGGAGTGGGAGGAATAATGTATCCACCTCCCAGGGCTTACCTGAGGATAGAAAATGGGCACCTAGTGTTCTGGGGCACTAGGAAGGGAACTTGGAGACCTTTTGGGCAGGGCCCACACGGCAGGCACTCTGAGTGGGGACCCTGATGCCAGGGAGTGGGGCCTGGGCACAGAGGGCAGGATGGTATGGTAACTGGGAGGGGAGGTGGAAACATGGGCCCAGGGAGGATCAGAGTTGGAAATGGAGAAACAGAGTGGTTTGGTCGTGGGGAGATACTGCCTGGAGGGAGTTGCAGTATAGGGGAGGTCCTCCCCTGAAGGTGAAGGTGGGGAGAAAACCTGGTCAAATCACCCTGAGTATGAGCAATGAAGCCACCTGGCCCTGACAGGCTGGAGAAAAGATCTCTGACACCCCCTGCCCACAGCATGGTCATCGTTTTATACCTGAGTCGAAAGTACCAGATACGGGGACACTGGTACCCACCTGAGCTGCAAGCCCGCACCTGCGTGGATGAGTACTTGGCGTGGAAGCATGTCACCATCCAGCTGCCTGCCACCAATGTCTACCTGTGCAAGGTGAGCTTCCTAGGCCCTGTCATGCAGGCTGGGGCAGGGGCCTGGACCCCCAGAGATGGAAGGCACCAGTTGGTACATATTACATATTAGCTTCACTTCCACTGTCCTCAGCAGACATAACTAATCTATCACAGTACTCCTTCCCCTAAGCCTGAATGAATCCTTAGAAACCTTCTGAACACAGAGCCCCAGAGGACATCACTAATGAGTGGCAGCCGGGAAGGGATGGAGAGGAGGCCCAAGAGGCTTCCAAGAGTCTGGGTTAAGTTGCTCCTCTCCTCCCAGCCCAGTCTCTCCTGCCCCACTTCTCCGGACAGCCTGCAGATGCTGCACAGCTGGAGCGGCTGTTGGGGAGGCTGATGCCAGCCCTGCAGCACCTGGATTGGGGGGTGCTGGTGGCCAGGCCCTTCCTGGCAATGGAGCAGATCTCCCTGGAAGACTTGGTGCTGACGGAGGTGATGCAGGTGAAGCTTTCCTACCCACCTGCCCTCTGGGGGGACTCTGGGCATGGGGCTGAGCCCCAACCCCAGCTGCCCTGTCTTCCCAGCCCACTGCCGTTGGCTGCGACCTCTTCCAAGACTGCCCCGGCTGGCAGTGTGGCAGGCCCGTGTGGCGGCTGCCCTTGGTACTGAGCTCTTGCTGGAGGCCCACAAGCTCATACTCCAGCCTCTGAACCACAGTGAGGCTTGGCGGGACCCCCAGCTGGCCCAGAAGCAGGTGCAGTGGGTGCAGCCCACTCCACTGCACCCTGCTGTCTGCAATAAACACACTGCATGCTCTTCGCTTGTCTCCAGGCTTACTCTGTCACCAGAAGTGGGGTCAGTCCCATTTCTCAGCCTAGACCTATTAGATCACAGCATAGAGTGAGTGGCACTCAGTCCTCTACGTGGGGCTCTAGTTACCTTCCTTGGCCACCAGGTACACAGTCTGGCCACTGCAGCCCCAACCAAGGCCAGGAAGTTTCTAGGCTCCTCTGTGTGGCACACACCGGCTGAGTGCCCCCTGACTTCCTGGTGGTGGTGTCCCCATTGCTCCCAAAGCTCACAGTTTCCTGTGTCTCTTTCTCCCAGTTCCTTTCTAGTCATAGTTCAGGCTCGATTCACCTGTGTCTCTTTCTCCCAATTCCTTTCTAGTCATAGTTCAGGCTCGATTTACCTGTGGATACTCCCAGCCTCTACTTCTAGAATCCTCCAGGGATAATTCTCATTGCCTCCTCTTCATTCTGGACCCTGCAAAGCCCCTTTCGTCAGGTTCTGCAATGAAAATCCAGCCGTGGGAATTCCCAGGCATAATCCCTTCTCAGACTGGTGTCTGTGAGGTGGCACCACGGGGCACAGGCACACGTGGAAGGGGGAGAGTAGGGTCACGGCTGCCACACCTTTGCCACGGGCCTCTCCCCAGCCTACTCCTGGGCCTCCTTAGAATCCTTGATGCTGTGAGAATTGCAGGCTTCCTGGCCTTATGACAACACAAAGGGAAACAAGAGGTTTCCCTGGGGAACACAGGATCCTGGGCCCAGATCGGAGAGGGCACAGGGCCAGGGACTCTGGCCAGACATAGGCCCAGGTCTGTGGCTGGCCAACTGCGGCTGTGGGGCCTGGCATGTGTCTCAACATGGCACTGGAGCTCTACATGGACCTGCTGTCAGCACCCTGCCGTGCCGTCTACATCTTCTCGAAGAAGCATGACATCCAGTTCAACTTTCAGTTTGTGGATCTGCTGAAAGGTCAACTCCCACTGCTGCCTGGCAGGCCTGGTCCTGGGGGGAGGCAGGACACACAGATTGCGGCTTTTCTTTTTTTCTTGTTTTTTGATGGAGTCTCGCTCTGTTGCCCAGCATGGAGTACGGTGGTGCTATCTCGGCTCACTGCAACCTCTGCTGGGTTCAAGTGCGTCTCCTGCCTCAGCCTCCCGAGTAGCTGGGATTAGAGGTGCATGCCACCACGCCCAGCTAATTTTTTGTATTTTTAACAGGGGTTTCACCATGTTGGCCAGGCTGGTCTCAAACTCCTGACCTCAAGTGATCTGCCCACCTCAGCCTCCAGAGTGCTGGGATTACAGGCGTGAGCCACCGCGCACAGCCTGATAGGGGCGTTTCTGAGGAGCAGAGACAGAGACAAGGGAATCACCCCAGAGGTCCACAGGGAAGGAAAAGATGCCACGCGGCTTGTAGGCTGCATCCTTGTCCAGCCTACCTTAGTCAGTGCTCACTAATGACAGTCCCCACGCCACAGATGAACAGGCTTTTCGAGGAGAAGGGGGAAGGAACAGTAGCTGGGACTCCCTGGGCTCCCACCAGGCACCCTGGCTTCCTTGTGGGATTCTAGGACCTTGTGAACTCAGCACCTGCCCACCAGGTTGGCAAAGGGGGCAGAAGTGCACAGTCCGTCTACACCCATCCTCCCCAGTGTTCAGAAAGGCTCAGGGCTCCACTAACCCTGAGTGAGGGTCAGAGGGGTGGGCTCCAACTCCATCCCCAGCACAGAGGGACTCCAAAAGCTCAGCCTGCAAAAGCAGAAGCCTCTAGAACACAGAGGAAGAGACAGGGAAGCTGTGGAAATGAACGGGCTGCGAGTGGAGCCCCCAGAAATGTTTCCAACTGGAGGCGGCTGGTCCAGGAAGAGTTTCAGTTCCTGCCCCCACCTCAGGTTCCCTGTTAAGATGACCCTGATTGTGTCCGAGAAGCTTCCCTTTGGATGTCCAGCTGTGTGCTGGGCCTGGCTTCCTTAAAGTGGAGACAGAGTGAGAGCGATGGGATTGCGGATGGGACCCAGGCCCTCAGGGCTTCAGGTGATTCAAAGGCTGTGTTTTCAGATCCAGCTTTGGGGGTGGGCACTGGAGGCCTCCGGCTTCTGGGTAAAAGGGTCGTCCTGGTCCTGGGACACAGGTAGGAGGCACGGGAGTCACCAAACCTAGGGTGGAGCAGGCTGGGAGCCAGCAGTTCTGATCGCAGTCCGGTTCTGCAACTGCCTTGCCCTGTGACCTGGGGTGAGACGCAATGTCCCTCCGGGCCTCAGTTCCCTCTTCTTGAGAAAATAGAGAGGGAGGCGTTTGGGTCTCTGGGAGTCTCAGTTCTCTCTCCCCTGGAGTCCCACAGCCTCAGACCTTCCCTGCCCCTCCCAGGTCACCACCACAGCAAAGGATACATTGACATCAACCCCCTCAGGAAGCTGCCCAGCCTCAAAGATGGGAAATTTATCTTAAGTGAAAGGTAAGTCTTCCCTGGGGCCCTTGCACCATCTGTCTCTGCTTCTCCTGGGAGGTTCAGTGCAAGCATTTGTCTGTTTGACCATGGAAAATCTCACACGTGCACTAAAGGAGAGTGAATACTAACTAATGAGGGACACGAGGAACCCCACAAATCCATCGCCCAGCTCTGACTCTTGCCAACTTGGGGTCCAGTTTACATCATTTCTATTCCCCTGCCTCCCAGACACCCCATCATTCCATTCATAAATGTTTAGAAGCCAGCTCATGCCTGTAATTCTAGCACTTTGAGAGGCTGAAGTGAGGGGATGGCCTGAGCTCACGTGTTCAAGACCAGCCTAGCCTAGACAACATGGCAAAACCCCATCTCTACAAAAAATACAAAAATTAGCCAGCATGGTGGTCTGCACCTGTAGTCCCAGCTACTCGGGAGGCTGAGGCGGAAAGACTGCTTGAGCCAGGAGGCAGAGGATGCAGTGAGCCAAGACTGCGTCGTTGCACTTCAGCGTGGGCAACAGAGTGAGATCCCATCTCAAAAATAAAAATAAATAAGTAAATAAATCAATAAATGTTTAGGAACATACTTTTCAGAGATAAGAGTTCTTAAAACAAACAAAAAAAAAGCAACAGGCTGGGTGTGGTGGCTCATGCCTATAATCCGAGCACTTCCAGAGGCTGACACGGGAGGATCGCTTGAGGCCAGGAAGTTCAGAACTGCAGTGAACTCTGATTGCGCCACTGCACTCCAGCCTGGGCTAGGATAGAGCGTAGCATCACTACGATACCATTAAGATACCTCATAAAATTAACAATAATTCCTGGATTTCATCTAATATGTGGCTCCTGTTCAAAACTCTATGATTATCTCCTAAACATTTTCTTGGCAGTTTGTTTGGATCAGGATCCAAAGAAGTTTTTTTTTTTTTTTTTTTTTGAGACGGAGTCTCGCTCTGTTGCCCAGGCTGGAGTGCAGTGGCGCTATCTTGGCTCACTGCAAGCTCCGCCTCCCGGGTTCACGCCATTCTCCTGCCTCAGCCTCCTGAGTAGCTGGGACTACAGGTGCCCGCCACCATGCCTGGCTAATTTTTTTGTATTTTTAGTAGAGACGGGGTTTCACTGTGTTAACCAGGATGGTCTCGATCTCCTGACCCCATGATCCCCCCGCCTCGGCCTCCCAGAGTGCTGGGATTACAGGCGTGAGCCACCGTGCCCAGCCAAGAAGTTCTGAGTCTTGCAGCCAGTTGCTGTCTCTCCTGCCACTTTTTAACCGATAGCTCTCTCCATGCCCTGACCTTTTTACCTTGGCATGGTTGCTGCTGGTGATGATAAAGGAGCCCTTGTGCTGCGGAGGTTCCCACACCAGCCATCAATCAGCAAGGCCTAGGACATCCCCTCCGAAGCATGTCTCCCCTCCATCCCCTTCCCTCTGTCCCCATGGCCTCCAACATTCCCAGACACCACAACCTTCCCGATAGTTGCTGGCCCCCTCATTGTCCATTCTGCCCCCTCGGGCTCACCCTCCATCCAGCACCAGAGAGATGGATCCTTTCATGCCCTGGCTTATATAATGCCTAATCTTAAGCATTAAGTCCATAACCTCCCTGCACCTCCAGGGGCTACCCTCCGTGGACTCCACAGTGTCTCTGGCTGCCTCATCACTCCCCAATCACCCCCACCCTTCTTCCAGTTGCAACCCCCTACTCTCTTTTCTTCAGATTTACCTTGCTCCCTTTACCCTCGTATTTCAGCATGTGTTTTTCTTTGTTGGTTTTTTGAGACAGAGTCTTGCTCTGTGGCCCAGGCTGGAGTACAGTGGCACAATCTTGGCTCACTACAACCTCTGCCTCCCAGGTTCAAGTGACTCCCGTGCCTCAGCTTCCCAAGTAGCTGGGATTACAGGTGTGTGCCACCACAACTAGCTAATTTTTGTATTTTCATTTTAGTAGAGACAGGGTTTCACCATGTTGGCCAGGCTGGTCTCCAACTCCTGGCCTCAAGGGATCTGCCCCCATTGGCCTCCCAAAGTGCCGGGATTACAGGTGTGAGCCATCGTGCCCCCCCGTTTTTGTTTTTGAAAAAGGATCTTGATCTTTCACCCAAGCTGGAGTGCAGTGGTGTGATCTTGGCTCACAGTAGCCCCAAATTCCTGGGATCAAGTGATCCTCCCACCTCAGCATCCCAATTCAACACGTGTTGTTCCCCCTGCTGGCCTACTCTTTGTTATACCACCAGCCCCCAACTCCTACTCACCCCGCAGGGCTCCTTCCCAGCCCTTACTGACTGTCAGACAGACAGCTCTGGTGAAGGTCTTTCTCGGGGCCGTTTGGGCTCCTCTTTGCTCTGGAAGCCCCAGCAGTTGGGCCCAGGCCACACCGGGGTGGTTGATGTAGTGGCACTCAGGAAGGCAAGGGCAGTGCCCCTGACCGGCCCCTTCTGCAGCGCGGCCATCCTTTACTACCTGTGCCGCAAGTACAGCGCACCATCGCACTGGTGCCCGCCAGACCCGCACGCACGTGCCCGTGTGGATGAGTTCGTGGCTTGGCAACACACGGCCTTTCAGCTGCCCATGAAGAAGATAGTCTGGCTCAAGGTGAGCAGGGCCACTTCTGGGGCTTGGGGACACGGGCACAGGGAAGTCAGGAAGGCTGGAGGCCAGTTCTGGCCCTGCTGACTGCCGGCGACCTCAAGCAAGTCTCCCTCCCTCTCTGGGCCTCATTTCCTCAGCTCCTTCTCCTGCCCGCCTTACAGAGCCGTCAGGAGTGTGGACTGAAACAATGGGCATGAAAGAGTCTTATTAGGGCGAGGGGAAGGGCATACGGGAGGGGCTGATGTGACTCACCCAGGACAGCATTCGAGGCATTTCATTCTGAACTAGAGAATCTCAGCGTCAAAAGGCCCACAGAAGGCCAGGAGCAGTGCTCACGCCTGTAATCCCAATACTTTGGGAGGCCGAGGCAGGTGGATCACTTGAGGTCAGGAGTTCAAGACCTACCTGTCCAACATTGTGAAACACTGTCTGTACTAAAAATACAAAAAAAATTAGCTGGTGTGGTGGTGGGCACCTGTAATCCCAGCTGCTCAGGAGGCTGAGGCAGGAGAATCGCTTAAACCAGGGAAGTGGATGTTGCAGTGAGCCGAGATCATGCCACTGCACTCCAGCCTGGGTGACAAAGTGAGATTCCATCTCAAAAAAAAAAAAAAAAATGGCTCATAGAAAATTTGAAGATGGCCGGGCACAGTGGCTCATGCCTGTAATCCCAGCACTTTGGGAGGCCGAGGTGGGCGGATCACAAGGTCAGGACTTCAATAACAGCCTGGCCAACAGGGTGAAACCCCATCTCTACTAAAAATATAAAAGTTACCCAGGCATGCTGGCATGTGCCTGTAATCCACGCTACTCCAAAGGCTGAGGCAGGAGAATTTCTTGAACCCAGCAGGCGGAGGTTGCAGTGAGGTAAGATCCCGCCACTGCACTCCAGCATGGGCAACAGAGTGAGACTCCGTCTCAAAAAAAAAAAAAAAAAAAAAAAAAGAAGAAAAAAGAAAATTGGAAGATGACAAATAACCAGTACACGTGTCTCTACTTCAAATTCCATGCCTGTGACCGGCATCACTAATCAATCACAGGACTTATGCCTGCTGAGCTCCCCAAATCCTTGTGAACGCATGGTTCCCGGCACCTTCCACCAATCAGAACTGCTAAAAGAGGTGAAACTGCTTTATATCCTGGGAAGTGTTCAATATCTATCCAGCAGACAAGAGTACAGAGACCTGGCAGGGCAGGTGGCCCTGGAGTACAGCCTCCTCTTCCCTCCTCTTCCCAACCCTGGCCAGTTGCTGATCCCAAAGATAACAGGGAAGGAAGTTTCAGCTGAGAAGATGGAGCATGCAGTGGAAGAGGTGAAGAACAGCCTGCAGCTCTTTGAGGAGTATTTTCTGCAGGATAAGATGTTCATCACCGGGAACCAAATCTCACTGGCTGACCTGGTGGCCGTGGTGGAGATGATGCAGGTGTGGAGTGGATTGGAGGAGGGTTAGACCCTGGGCAGAGGTAGGACTCCTCTGTGACCAATGGGGCCATCACTTGAGGATAGGCTGGTGAGGCGGGAAAGGCAGGCAGAGCTGCCATGGGGGCTGCGGGAACCAGGCCTGGGGGCCTGGACTCAATCGGGGCAACAGGAAGCACAGAATGTTATGAATCAGGAAGGATCACAGTTCTCCACACTTGACAAAGATTCTTCGGTGTGGGAGGACCCGGAGGGTGAGCCTGGGATAGAGAAGAACACTGCATTTCCTGCTCAATCCACCAGCATCCCAGATACCTCCTCCTCTTGCTGGACTCTCCAGGAAATGTTCACTGGCTTCCTGGGTGTCCTTCTGGCCCTGCCTGTTTCCCAGAGCTCCAGACAGACAGCTCTGGAGGACAGCTCTCGTGGCTGGGTCTGAGGGGCATCCACTGTGCATTTGGAGGCACACCTGAGTGTGGGGCATTTATGTGGCCTCTACATGCAGGGGAGGGTGACCAGTTCTGCTTGTCAAGACACTGGCCAGGGTCTCAACTGGCCATCCTGCACACCAGCTAGGGCACTGCACACTGACCAAAGAGACTAATTTGCATATCAGCCAGAGATATGCCAGGAGGAGGCACCTGGGATCCTGGTGGATTGACCAGGAAATACAGTGTTCTTTTCCCTATTGCAGAGATCTCTGGTTGATACGAAAATTAGTCTCTTTGGTCTGTTTGCAGGGCAGACCAGCACCAGGAAAAATCATTCTGGCCTGCCCCAAGGGTTCAGCCATATACTTCGTCCCCACCCCTTACATTTCACCAACGACCCACCCCTTCTTTGGCTTCCCAAAGATCTTGGGTGCAAACGGAACTACAGGGTAGACTGTCTTAGTGAGCCAGCGAAACTGCAGGGTAGACTGCCCGCCAGGTCTCCCATCTTAGCCCCTGAGCTTGATCATAGTGGGAGTCTAAACATGGAGGAAAAAACCTGAGTTCTCTCCCTCATCCGCATATACACACCTGGGATAAGGGGTTTCCCTGGAAGAAGGCAGGATTCATGCGAGGTCGCAGGCTGGAGAAGTGGGAGCTGCCTGGGCCAGGAGCCCTCTCAGTGTGGTTCAGAAGGCTTGGAGCAAGAAGACCAGTGACTGAGGACTCTGAGGGATTCTGGATCCTCCATCCCCACCTACATCTATTACATAGTCTGTGACCCCTTGCTCAGGCCTTGGGGGTCAGCAGCCTAATTCTTTCCATAGGTAGATGTTAGGGACGTGGGCCAGAGGCTGTGGGAGAGGACCCAGGTGGGGCTGGTCCCCAGGCTGACCACATCTTCGTCTTTGTCTATCCACAGCCCATGGCAGCCAACTATAATGTCTTCCTCAACAGCTCCAAGCTAGCTGAGTGGCGTATGCGGGTGGAGCTGAATATTGGCTGTGGCCTCTTTAGGGAGGCCCATGATCGACTAATGCAGTTGGCCGACTGGGACTTTTCAACATTGGATCCAATGGTCACGAGGAAAATCTGTGAGTTTCGGGAGAAGTACTTGTGACCCTAATCGCAGCCCATCCTGCAGGGCCTGGCTGGCTCAATGATCTGAGCCACCTTCCTTAAAGGAAATGCTAAAAAAACAACTGTTCTTTGCCTAATAAAGAACTGGAACAACATCACAGCTGCTGAGCAACAGACAGTTGGCGTATGCATAGGGTCTGATGTGGAAGTGGGTGGTGGTTACAGATCCTTCCAGTTTCCAAAAAGAATTTTAAAAGTAAAGGGTTAAATATGATTACGTTGTCAGTAATAATAGTTGGTGACTTCAATACCTGACTTTTTTTTTTTTTTTTTTTTTTTTTTGAGATGGAGTCTCACTCTGTCACTCAGGCTGGAGTGCAGTGGTGCGATCTCAGCTCACTGCAACATCCACCTCCCAGGTTCAAGCAATCCTCCTGCCTCAGCCTCCTGAGTAGCTGGGATTACAGGCACATGCCGCCATGCCCAGCTAATTTTTTTCTGTATTTTAGTAGAGACAGGGTTTCATTGTATTGCCCAGGCTGGTCTCGAACTCCTGAGCTCAGGCAAATCGCCCGCCTCAGCCTCCCAAAGTGCTGAGCCACCCTGAATCCCCAAAGGGATTCGGGGCGTGAGCCACCACACCTGGCCCCCACTTTCAGTAATAGAAAAACTGCAGAAGACCATCAAGGAAATAGAGGACTTGAAAAGCACTGTAAACCAATTGCACACACTAGACATGAACAGAACGTTCTACCCGACAGGAGCAGAATAAGCATTCTTCTAAAGAGCACATGGAATATTCTCCAGTATAGAGCATATATTTGGTCCTAAGTCTCAAATTTAAGAAGATTGAAATCATACAAAGGGTGTTCTCTGGACACAGTGGAATAAAGTTTAAAATCAAGAACAAAAGGAAAACTAGAAAACTCACAAGCACATAGAAATTAAACGGCACACTCTTAAACAACCAATGGGTCAAAGACAAAACCACAAGGGAAATTAAAAAGTATCTTGAATGAATAAAAATGAAAACACAACATGCCCAAATTTATAGGATGCAGCAGAAGCAGTGCTAAGAGCAAAATTTATAGCTGTAAACACCTAAGTTAAAGAAGAACAATCTTCAATCAATAACCTAACTTTACACCTTAAGGAACTAGAAAAATAAGAGCAAAATAAACCCAACACCAATAGAAGACAGGAAATAATAAAGATTAGAATGGAGATAAATGAAATGGAAAACAGAAAAACAATAGAGAAAATCAAAGAAACCAAAAATTGGATCTTTGAAAAGATCAACAAAACTTGGCAAACCTTTAGTTAGAATGGCCAAGTGAAAAAATAAGACTCAAATTATTCACCAAGAAAGTGGAGGATGGGTGCAATGGCTCACACCTGTAATCCCAGGACTTTGGGAGGCCGAGGCAGGAGGATCATTTGAGGCCAAGAGATTGAGACCAGCCTGGGCAACATAGTGAGACTTGTTTCTACAAAAAGAGTTATTTATTTTTTTTAATTAGCTAGGAGGCAAGGCCCAGTGGTTCATGCCTGTAATCCCAGCACTTTGGGAGGCTGAGACGGGCGGATCACCTGATATCAGGAGTTTCAGACCAGCCTGGCCAACATGGTGAAACACCATCTCTAGTAAAAATAAAAAACTAGCTGGGCATGGTGGCAGGCGCCTGTAATCCCAGCTACTCGGGAGGCTGAGGCAGGAGAATCGCTTGAACCCAAGAAGCAGAGTTGCAGTGAGCCAAGATCACACTGCTGCACTCCACCCTGGGTGACAAGAGCAAAATTTCGTCTCAAAAAAAAAAAAGAAAGAAAAAATTAGCTGAGTGTGTTGGTGCGCGCCTGTAGTCCTAGCAAATTGGGTGGCTAAGGTGGGAGGATCACTTTAGCCCAGGAATTCAAGGTTACATTGAGCTGTGATTGCACCACTGCACTCTAGTCTGGGTAACATAGGAAAACCTTATATCAAAAAAAAAAACAAAAAAAACAAAAACCAAAAAACCAGACACCAGAAAGAAAGAAAATGGACACATCACTACTGGTATTAGAGAAGTACAAAGGTTTATAAAGAAATACTATGAATAATTGTATGTGAACAAATGAGATAACCTCGATGAAATGAGAAAATTTTAGAAACATGCAATCTACCAAAACGGACTTAAGAAGGAAGATAAAATTTGAATAGACCTGTAAAAGTAAAGATATTAAAATATTAATTTTTTTAAAATCCTACCAAAAAGCCGGGCGCGGTGGCTCATGCCTGTAATCCCAGCACTTTGGGAGGCTGAGGTGGGCGGATCACGAGGTCAGGAGATCAAGACCATCCTGGCTAATGCAGTGAAACCCCATCTCTACTAAAAATACAAAAAAATTAGATGGGGCGTGGTGGTGGGCACCTGTAGTCCCAGCTACTCGGGAGGCTGAGGCAGGAGAATGGTGTGAACCAGGAAGGCGGAGCTTGCAGTGAGCCGAGATCGCACCACTGCACTCCAGCCTGGGTGACAGAGCGAGACTCCGTCTCAAAAAATAAATCAATAAATCAATAAATGAAATCCCTACAAAGAAAAGTCCAGGACCAGATAGCTTCACTGGTGAATTCAACCAAAAGCTTGAAGAATTGACACCAACCCTTCAAAAACTCTTCTAAAAAATAGAACAGGAAGAAATATTTTTCAACTCATTCTATGAGGCCAGCATTACCCTGATACCAAAGACAGAAAAACACATTATAAGAAAATAAAGTTACAAAGCAATATCCTTATAAATATAGATGTAAATATCCTCAGCAAAATATTAGCAAATCAAATTCAGCAGCATATTAAGAGGATTATACACATTGACCAGGTAGGATTTATCCCAGGAGTACAAATGTGGTTCAATGTACAAAAACCAATCCATATAGCACTTCATATTAATAGAAAGTCACATGATCATCCTAATGCAGAGAAGGCATTTGACAAAATCTAACATCCTTTTATGATAAAATTACTCAACAGATGAAGACTAGAAAGGAACTTCCTCAGCCTGACAAAGAGCATCTATGAAAAACCTATAAACACCATACTTCATTCCTTGTGAAAGATTGAGTGTTTCCCCTCAAGATCAAGAGCAGGACAAGAATGTTCATTCATACTACTTCTATTTATTAGGGCAATTAGGCAAGAAAAAGGAACAAGGTGGAATCCAGATCGGAAAGAAAGAAGTAAAACTATCTTTAGTCACAGATGACATTATAGGAACTCCTAAGGAACTCACTTAAAAACCATTAGAGCTCATAAGCAAGTTCAGCAAGGTTGCAGGATACAAGATTAATACACAAAAATCAATAGTATACATTTGCAGTAAAGGATCAAAAACAAAATTAAAACAACACTTTCATTTACAATAGCATCAAAAAGAATAAAATACTTAGAATAACTTTAACCAAAGAAAAGCAACACTTAAACACAGCAAACTACAATGTGCTGTTGAAAGAAATTAAAGAAGCACCACCAAGCAATCTGACCTGAGAAAGCATGCAGGTTCAACAGAATGAGTCCTGCTCTTCAGCAAGCACCCATCTTGTGTTCAAGCTGGGTCTGTGAGGTAAGTCTGGCAACACAGAGATGGACACACAACCAAATCTGGAATGCAGATAAGGCCAAGGGAAGGTGGATCAATCATTGGAAACATTCAACAATCCATGGAAGAAATGTTAAAAATAGAATCTCAGGGTCTAATGAAGTCGGAATAGCTCTCTTCTAGGTATTTCTGTTGAAAACTGTTGAATAATTGGATAAAGTAAAAGATAAGTATCGGGGATTATTAGGTAGCAATGAATGTGTAATAAATGTAAAAAGAGGGGCAAGTGCATACAAGGAAGTGTATGCTACTGGGTTTCTGTTGAATTGTGCATGGAAGACCATCAGCAGTTCAAGTCAAAAAGCTTGTCTTGAGGGACTGTGCCAGGCTTTGCAGCTACAAACATCATGGAGGAAGGTGTCTGCCCATTAGAAGCCCAGAGCCCAGACGGACGGACTAGAGCAAATCCTCTCCCTCATGGAGCTAGATGGGAAAACAAAACTATCTGATAACTAACATGCAATTTTACATCTCTTACCTTGTTTAATCCTCACAACCACCCTGATGAGTAGTAGTATTATCCCCATTTCGTAGATGAAGAAACAAGTTCTTCAAGGGGAAGGGATCCTCGGAGTAGCATATGAATGAGAGGCAGAACCAGAGTCAGGACCTATATCTTGTCTTCTCCTTCCTAAAACTAGAAAAGTACCCACAACCAGGCAGTGTTTTTGGTGCAGAGGAAGCAGTAGTGAACAAAGTACGCAAAAGTCTCTACCTTTAGTGCTCACATTATTGTGGAGGAAGACAACAAACAATAATCCCAGTAGAGAAATTAGAATGTTTTGCTAAAAAGTCCTTAGGTGGGGTGTCATGATGTTGGTATCTTATGTTCAAAAAACAGTAAGTTGAAACTGGGGTTGCATATATTAGTGCTGTTGTACTAGTCCTTTCATTTTCTGGATTTTAAATGTTTTCATAATTTAAAAGTTGGGGGAAAACTTAAAGAAGACCTTAATAAATGGAAAGACATCCCATGTTCATGATTGGAAGGTGTAGTAATGTTAAGATGTCAAATTCAACACAGTCTGCATTAAAATTCCACTTGGCCTGTTTGCACAAACTGACAAATTGGCCCTAAAATTCATTTGGAAATTAAAGTGACTCAGAATCTTCAAAATAATTTTGAAAAAGAAAAAGCTGTAGGACTCATGCTTCCCAATTTCAAAACTTAGTACAAAGATACTATAATCAAGACATTGCCAATCAAACCACAATGAGATATCACTTCACACACTCTATGAGGGGTATAACAGAAAAGACAGATTAAAAGTATTGTTGAGGATGTGTGAAGAAATTGAAACCCTTGTGTGCTGCTGCTGAGAATGTAAAATGTATAACCGCTTTGGAAAACAGCTTGCAGTTCCTCCAAAAGTTAAACATATATACACATATATATAAAATATATTATTATGTATATATAACATATTATATATATATGGGTTAGTTTTGTTTTGTTTTTTTTGTTTTTTTTTTTTTTGGAGACAGATTCTTGCTCTGTCACCCACGCTAGAGTGCAGTGGTGCCATCTCGGCTCACTGCAACCTCCGTCTCCTGGTTTCAAGCAATTCTCCTGCCTCAGCCTCCTGAGTAACTGGAATTACAGGCTGGAATTACAGGCAGGCACCACCATGCCCAGCTAGTTTTTGTATTTTTAGTAGAGACGGGGTTTCGCCATGTTGGCCAGGCTGGTCTCGAACTCCTGACCTCAGGTGATCCACCCACCTCAGCCTTCCAAAGTGCTGGGATTACAGGCATGTGCCACCGTGCCCGGCCAACATAGAATTATATTATCCAGCAATTCCATTCCTAGGTGTATACCCAAGACAACTGAAGACATATGTCCAGACAAAAACTTGTACGTGAATGTTCATCACAGCATGGGGATTCACAATAGCTGAAAAGTAGAATCAATGCAAAAGTCCATCAACTGGTGAATGGATAAACAGAATGTGGTGTATACATAAAATGGAATATAATTCAGCCACAGGAAGGGATGAAGTACTGTTATATGCTACACCATGAATGAACCTTGACACCATTATGTTAAATGAAAGAAGCCAGTCATAAAAGCTCACATATTTCATTATTAAATTTGAATGAAATGTCCAGAATAGGCAGATACTTACTGTCCACAGAGGTAGAAAGTAGATGAATGGTTACCAGGGGCTAGGAGAAGAGGGAAATGGGGAGTGACTGTTTAATGGGTACAGAGTTTCTTTTAGGGGTGATGAAAATGATCTAGAATTAGATAATTGTGATGGTGACAAAACTTTGTTAATATACTAAAAACCAATGAATTGGCTTTAAACCAATTGAATTTTAAAGTATATTTTGAAAGAGCGGATATTATGGTATGTGAATTATACCTCATAATGAAAATATGATTGCATTGTTCAAAAGAGTATGAAAGGAAGCATACAAAAAATATGAAACATAAAATATGGCTCTTTTTATTCTAAAGTGTAGAAATTGAACATTTTGTCTCAGGATATAAAACAAAAACAAAGAAAGCTAAAAGCCCTTCCATTTGGCCATCTTGGAGTAAGACCTACCACAGTCCAGTGCCTTTTACTCAGTCCCACAGCCTAGCCTATTGTTTGCGTGAAACTCTGTAGCTTCCACTCCTGTTTGACTGTTGGGTGTAAAGTTATGAGTGACCACATTGGGGGAAGGGAGGAAAACTCCCCATAAAAGTATATCCTGGGGGCCTGAGGACAGACGTGGGCCCAGCGACAGATGTGGGTCCAGGTATCAGAACGTGATATGCCTACTTGTCCCTATCTCGTTGTCCACACATAGGGCTTGGAAGATGGCCATGTTTTATATCATGTGACCTCCAACCAATGAGCTGATTGGCTTCTTCAACAAGAGCCCAGGTAGAGATTGCTGTCTAGAAGAGCCCATCAGATTCTAGAGAATCAGGCCTCTGGCAGTAGGGCATGGTGGCTCATGCCTTTGGGAGGCTGAGGTGGGCAGATCACCTGAGTTCAGGAGTTCGAGACCAGCCTGACCAACATGGAGAAACCCTGTCTCTACTAAAACTACAAAAAATTAGCTGGGCGTGGTGATGCATGCCTGTAATCCCAGCTACTCGGGAGGCTGAGGCAGGAGAATCGCTTCAACCTGGGAGGCAGAGGTCGCGGTAAGCCGAGATCACGCCATTGCCCTCCAGCCTGGGCAACAAGAGCGAAACTCCGTCTCAAAAAAAAAAAAAAGAGAGAGAGAATCAGCTCTTTGACAGTGGAAACTCCCCTGGGAAGATGTCATAGGGTCCTCAGGGTCAGACACAGAGAGAAGGAGACATTAGGACAGAGAGAAGAGGCAAGAAAAAAACATACCTTGCAGTCTGTGAGGAACAGAGTGGCCCCCAGGGGCCTCCAGCCCAGGTTCTGGATCAAAGCTCCTCAAAGTTTAAGGCGCATTTGGATCATCTGAGGATCTTATGAAAATACAGACTCTGTCTGATTCAGTAGGTCTGGGTTTGGGGGTGGGAGCCTGTTAGTATATTTCTAACAAGCTCCCAGGCAAGGCTGCTGCTGCTGCTGATCTAATGACCACAGTTTGAGGCTGGACAGAGTGGCTCACACCTGTAATCCCAACACTTTGGGAGGACAAGGCAGGAGGGTCTCTTGAGGCTAGAACTTTGAGACCAGCCTGGGCAACGCAGCAGGACCTCGTCTCTAAAAAACAAGAGAGAAGAAGAAAAAGGAAACAAAAAGAAGACCTCAACTAGAGTAGGAAGCAGCCAGGCCACATATCTCTTCAATGGAGAAAAGAGTTTTTTTCTTGAGTAAATTGGAGTGTACCCATGTTCCTTGTCAATGACGGTAACTTTAAATGCCAAGAATGTGAGAGAGGCCGGGGCGGCGGATCACATCTTTATAATCCTAGCACTTTGGGAGGCTGAGGTGGGAGGATCACTTGAGCCCAGGAATTCAAGACCACCCTGGGAAACAAAGTGTGATGCCCTCTCTACAAAGTCAAAAAATTAGCCAAGCATGGTGGCATGTGCCTGTGATCCGAACTACACAGGAGGGTGAGGCAGAAGGATTGTTTGAGCCCAGGAGGTCGAGGCTATAGTAAGCTGAGTTTGCAGCACTGCACTCACTCCAGCCTGGGCAACAGCAGGACCCTGTCTCAAAAAAAAAAAAAAAAAAAAAAAAAAGAATGTGAGAGACCATGGGGAAGGTGTGGCCCTGGGGTAGGGGCTAGGAGACTACAGAACAACTGCTAGTGGCCCCATCACTGCCCAGAGGAGACAGTGACCTGTCCACCCTCATGACCTCTTTGGACTCCTTGGACAGGACTGGCTACACATGAAAATGTGGGGACCCTTATTTTTAAATTGTTAAGAATGTCAAGACAGCAACAACAAAGTTTTAAACCAAGTGCATGGCCCTTCTGCGTTGTAGGCCCACGAGGCAGGCAGACTGGTATTCACATCCTTGTATAGCCCCCTCCCCTTGAGTGTGACTGGGGTCTGTGCTTTATTGCTTGGAAGCAAGGCTTATCCCTAAGCCTTATTTTCGGGGAGGTGGATTTGAGAGCTATTATCCTACCTCCTTGCTTGGCACCCTTGTGAATAAATCTTTAGTCTTTTGCAAAACTCATGTCACAGTGATTAATTTACTGTGCATGGGCAGAACGGACCTGGTCCTGGCCAGTAACACCCACGAGGCTTCCTAGGAGACTACACTGCCAAGAGAGCACTGAGCAATGGTTGGGAGCATTCTGTCTAAATGACTTTTCTCTTCTTTCTAGGCCGGGCACGGTGGCTCACGCCTGTAATCCCAGCACTTTGAGAGGCCGAGGCTGGCAGGTCACTTGAGGCCAGGAGTTCAAGACCAGCCTGGCCAACATGGTGAAACCCTGTCTCTACTAAAAATACAATTAGCTGAGCATGGTGGCACATGCCTGAAATCCCAGCTACCCGGGTGGCTGAGGCACGAGAATCGCTTGAACCCAGGAGGCAGAGGTTGCAGTGAGCAGAGATTGCACCACTGCACTTCAGCCTGAGTGACAGAGAGGGGCAAAGTCAAAAAACAAACAAACGAACCAACCCACACACTCTCACTTTTATCTTGTTTCTATAAATTAATAAATACAGCCTTTGTGAGTTGGTTTATGTGAGTCAGACCCAAAGAAAATGATCAATCCTGAAACGTGGACCAAATTAGTTGTTTTGTTTTTTAGTTGGAGTTACTCTCTTGTCGCCCAGCCTGGAGTGCAATGGCGCAGTCTTGGCACACGGCAACCTCTGCCTCTAGAGTTCAACGATTCTCCTGCCTCAGCCTCCTGAGTAGCTGGAATTACAGGTGCATGCCACCACGCCCAGATAATTTTTATATTTTTAGCAGAGATGGGGTTTCACCAAGTTGGCCAGGCTGGTCTCAAACTCCTGAACTCAGGTGATCCGCCGGCCTCAGCCTCCCAAGGTGCTGGGGTTATAGGAATGAGCCACCACTCCCGCCCCAAATTAGGTTTTGAACTTAAAAGACAGGCTGAGCCTTGAACCAGAATCCTGACAGCTCCTCCTTGGGCCTCTGACTGGAGTTATCCAGAGGTGAGGATAAGGCAGCCATTGCCTTCTCTGAGTGTCTACCTCCTTTCAAAACTTTAACATGGAAATCTGAATTTCTCATCTTTCCTTAATTTTTTTTCCAGTTAAAAATCATTATTACTGGCCAGTTGTAGTGGCTCACATCTGTAATCCCAGCAGGTGGCAGAGGTGGGAGGATCAGCCTAGGCAACATAGTGAGACCCTGCCTCTACAGAAAAAAATTTTTTTTAACTAGCTGGGCGTCTTTGTGCGCACCTGTAGTCCCAGCTACTTGGGGAGGCTGAGATGGGAGGATGGCTTGAGCCCAGGAGTTGGAGTCTGTAGTGAGCTGTGATCATGCCACTGCATTCTACCCTGGGCAAGAGAGTGAGACTCTATCTAAATAAAATAAAACAGTTGTTACTTCCACTTTATTTGCAGAAATGTTCCTTATTCTCTAGAAAACATTATGCGTTGGCTGACACACTTTCAGTGGGATTCGTTTTAGAAAATGACATGTGACCCTGATACTATTTGACAGGCTCCATGGCAGCAAGGGGCAGGCCTGGGCTTACGGCTCAGCAGATGAATCCAGGGGGGTGGACTTGCAAGGACTCTGGAGGGCTCTAGCTTCCCTGTCATTTTAAAGATGGAGAAACACAGGCCTGGAGAAAGGAAGAAATAAACCCAGGGAATGCGATAGATGGCACTGTGCTGGCAGGGGCAGGAAGACCAAGGCTGTGACATTCCAGGGAGTGCGACTGCAGTGAAGCGAGTGACCACAAAACACTGAACGTAAGCCCTGAGGCTTTGCCACTTGCTGGCACCAAGGACTCTGCAGTGTTGAGCCAAGAGGATGGACTTTGGAGCCAGACTTTCTGGGTCTATAATCATTCAGTGTCTGTCTCCTCCTCTAAAATGCGGACGGTGGGAAATTCTGACACACGCTTCAACACAGATGCACCTTGAAGACATTATGCTAAGTGAAATGAGCGAGCCAGGCACGAAAGGGATGGGACTGGGGCCTCTCTGTGCGTCCCCCTGAGAGACAACGGTCTCTTGGCCACCCACCCTGATCCCACAGGAGCCAGGCGGGCCCAGCCCTGAGACAGGCCGCCCGCCGCCCGCAATTGGACTAAAGAGTGTCCCAGGCGTCCGTGCCGCCCAATGGGGCACAGCGGTCGGGGTGCGTAGCCGCAGGGGCGTGGTCTGAGGTCCGAGACCCGAGTCCTGGCACTGGAGTTTGCTGACTCCCTCTGGTTTCCGGTCAGGTCGGTCGGTCCCCACTATGGGCCTGGAGCTGTACCTGGACCTGCTGTCCCAGCCCTGCCGCGCTGTTTACATCTTTGCCAAGAAGAACGACATTCCCTTCGAGCTGCGCATCGTGGATCTGATTAAAGGTAGGTCCAGCCTCGGGTTTGGGGAACCGAAAAGTCAGGAAGGGGACAGGTAGGCATACATAGCTTAGGGAACTTCTCCCAGCGCCACCTTCTTCCTGGGGCCATTGCTGGTCTGGTTTGGAGACCGAACAGAGAAAGGTGAGCCAGCAGGGAGATCCAAGAGTCGGGGCTCCCCAAAACTCTGCTCGGTCTCACGGAATAGACCACGGGGTTCCCCTGAGGCCGAATAAAGGGGTGGGGATCATGAAGAGAAGCCAGACAGGAGGACAAAAACGGGCGCAGCTGGGTGCAGGGGCACACGCCTGTAGTCCCAGCAACTCGAGAGGCTGGGGTGGGAGGATCGCTTGAGCCCAGGAATTCCAGGCCGCAGTGCACTATCATGGTGCCCTTGAATAGCCACTGCACTCCCGTCAGGGCAATCTAGCGAGACCCCGTCTTAAAAAAAAAAAACAAAAAAAAACAAAATGAAAGCAGGTGTGACCTCGGCCTAGGGAAAGGTGGGATGAGAGAGGTCAAGGGTGCCAAGTGTAGAGACTGGGACAGCGTCAAGTCCCTTCTTTATGGCCCAGCTGCTGAGATTCTGCAACAGCAAACAGCTCAGGACGTGACTTTCCATCCCTGCCCTCTGCACTCGTCCAGTCTGCATTGGGGTCCCTCTTTGTCCCTTCCTTCCTCTGTTCCTCCTGTTTTGCCTCTGACCTTGTCCTTGTCCTTTTTTTTTTGAGACAGAGTCTTGCTTTTGCTTTGTTGCAGTGCAGTGGCACGGATCTCGAATCACTGCAACCACCACCTCCCGGGTTCAAGCAATTCTCCTGCTTCAGCCTCCTGAGTAGCTAGATTACAAATGTGTGCCACTATGTCTGGCTAATTTTTTTGTATTTTTAACAGAGATGGGATTTCACAATTTTGGTCAGGCTGTTCTCGAACTCCTGACATCAAATGATCTGCCGGCTTAGCCTCCCAAAGTGCTGGGATTACAGGCATGAGCCACTGTGCCTGGCCCAAGGCATTTTGTTTATTTGTTTGTTTGTTTTTGAGACGGAGTCTCGCTCTGTCGCCCAGGCTGGAGTGCAGTGGCAGGATCACAGCTCACTGCAACCTCTGCCGCCCGAAACCTTGTCCTCTGCCTCTTGTTCCTGCTGGGGAGGTAGGTTGCCCCAGGCTGCTGATGCTGGAAGCAGCAGGGGGACCCTGGGGCTTGATGAGCCCTACACCCTGTTTTGTTTCTCTAGCATGCCTCCAAGGCCCTTGAGGACTCAGCTGGCAGGCCCAGGCCCAGGCCCAGTGCAGGGTGGGGTAGTAGGAGGGGTTGGAAGCAGAATCCAGGTATGGCTGGTGGGGCAAGTAAGGCGACTCTACTTGGCTAAGCCTTCTGCCCAGGGCTCCCACTCCATGGCTGGCCCTCTGCCTGAAACTTCTCCACATAATCTCTTCTGCAAACTGCCCACTGTCCTGCGCAAGGACTTCCTCTGCAGAGTGTGGAGTAGAGGAAAGGGAATGGGGGACAAGAGGACGTCCAAGCTGGTTGTCAAATGTAGTGGTGCAGAGGGAAGTGTGTTTTCCCAGGAGACAGAGGAGGGTTTTCCTGGTGAAGGAACAGTCTGAAGGGAGGGTGAAGAGAGGGTAGCAGGCTGGGCATGGTGGCTCACACCTGTAATCCCAGCACTTTGGGAGGCCGAAGTAGGAAGATTACTTGAGGCCAGTAGTTCAAGACCAGCCTGGGCAACATAGTGAGACCCCAACTGTAAGGGGAATAAAAGTTTGGGGCACAGGGGGTGGTAGCAGGTATGCTACACACAGCTCCACAGTGCCCAGGGCAGGGTGAACAAAGGGACATGGTGGGGCCAGTAGAAGTTGCTTCTAAGTAGGTAGATACCAGAAAAAGACCACTTCTCTGTGTTTCATGACCCTGCCTTAGAATTAATGGTGGAAGGGACAAGGTAGTCAGTCCCCTCAGGTGACCTATCGTGCAGCTTGGGGTGCTCTGATTGTGAGTTCATGAAGCTGGCAATAGTGGAAAGAGGAGATGGGTAGGGTGCATGCAAAGGTCCAGGAACCACACCCTGCACAGTGAGCTCTGTTGCAGAGGGGCAGCCTGTGGGAGGAGGCTGTGCCTACAGGACTTAGCAAGGGGTGTTGTCTATTTTGTACCAGCCGGTGGAGTGGTCTCCTCCTCCTCCCGCAGGGGCCCTTCCAGTCTTTGCCAACCAGGAGTGCAGACTGGTGGGAAGAAGAACTGTGAAACTGGGGCCAGAGCATTGCAGGGAGGGGCACAGGCCATGGCGGGCTCAGCGTTCTCCTCCCACCACCCACCATGCTGGACTCTTCCCAGGTCAGCACTTAAGCGATGCCTTTGCCCAGGTGAACCCCCTCAAGAAGGTGCCAGCCTTGAAGGACGGGGACTTCACCTTGACGGAGAGGTAACTGGGACCCTAGGACTGCTGCCAGGCCTGCTGGAACCATCCTGTTCTAACCCTCTATTTCATAGACAAGGAAACTAAAGTCTTCAGAGGCAGAGAGTCTCTGTGCCCCGCATCCTGCAGAGAGTCAGTACTGGACCCCAGGCCCTTGCCTTCCTGCTATTCCAGTTCACCCTGATGATTAGAAAAGCAAATATCTACTTTACTTCCACACCAGTGCTTTGGTTGCTGGTGAGTGGTGAGAGTATCCTTGAGACAGGGTAGGCCAGAGGACGATGGCAGCTTTGCCCACCGTGGGGCAGGCCTCTGGCCAAGCTTGTGTGGCGATGGCTCAGTGGCATCTGGGCTGCCCGGTGGCTCCATCTCTGGGCTGCAGCTTCCCAGGATGGGTCTTCCCCATGGAAGAGCCACCAGATATGGACGTCTTACATCACAGCTGGTCCCAAGAAGTTGAATCCTCTTCAGGAAAAGCCAATCTTTCCCCAGTTCTGCCCCTTTTGTCACCAGAGTCACCCTTCCCCTAACAAGAACCTGGAGTTTGTGCTTTAAAGCTCATCTCTGAAATCTCAGGATGGACGCACCTCCGATGAATTCCTCTGACATTCTGCCAGGGCCCGTCTTCCTCCCTGGTGCCCCAGGTGTCCTGAGTCCTTGTGTCACTCAGCGTTGTGACCCCCAGGTACCAGCCAGAGTCAATGTGCAATCTCTGCCTCTGTCACTACTCTCACCTTCAGGTCTGTGGCTCACAGAGACCTGCAGCCCTCCTCAGAGGTGGCTTGAACAATTGGCTGGGAGCAAAAGGAGCTCCTGGGCACCCTGCACAGACAACGGAGTCGTTAAGCTGGGACACGTGTGTAGCCCCAGCTTAAAAGAGAATATAGGCCCGTGGCAGATACAGAGGTTTTCTGCCCTTTTGGCCTGCATGCCCAACCTTTGGGAAACCCCAAGTTCCTGAAAGCTTTTCTGTGTCTCCAAATGGACACATCCTGTGTCCTTCCAGGTCCATGCTCATCTCATCACCATGGCGGCCCTCAAAACCCAGGGAAGGAGGAGAGTGCCAGGGGGCCTTGTCTGTTCTGTTGTTCTAGGATCCTGCAGCTGCAGGAGTGCTTCCTGAGTGGTACTTTAGGAAGCCAAACTACCCCAGTCAGCTTAGATAGGAGCTGATTCTTGGCAGAAAGAATGACAGAAAGAACAAAGGGACACGGAAGCCTTTTTGAACAGTCAGGCCATCAGAGGCTGGTCGGAATCCCAGCAGATGAGAGTGGATACCGAATGGAAAGAACTGAGCTTCTTTAAAGCTCAGCTTTGATGCCCCGTTCTCCTGGAAGCTCTCTCTGGTTCTCTGATCAGAAACTGTCTCTAAACATTTGGCAAGACATTCTGTTGTGGGATTTTGCCTGGTGGTAGGAAAAGCTTGGGTATTAGCCTCAGAAAGATTCTCAGCTCTGCCATTAAGAGCTGTGTGCCCTAGGGCAAGTCTCTGCCTTTCTAAGCCTGGTTTTCTTCTCTGGAAAATGAGGCTAATACTTTGGCAAATTGTCAGAAAGGTTAAAGAAGTGTGCTGGGCACAGTGGTTCATGCCTATAATGCCAGCGCTTTGGGATGCCAAGGCTGGAGGATTGCTTGAGGATAGGAGTTTAAGACCAGCCTGGCAATACAGTGAGATCCCATCTCTACAAAAAAGAAAAAAGGTAGCCAGGCATGGTGGTGCACTCCTATAAAAATTGAAGCTGCAGTGAGCTGAGACTGCACCACTGCACTCCAGCCTGGGTGACTGAGGAAGACCTTGTCTCCAAAAAAAAAAAAAAAAAAAAAAAAAAAAAAGGCCAGGTGCGGTTGCTTATACGTGTAATCACAGCACTTTGGGAGGCCGAGGCAGGCAGATCACAAGGTCAGGAGTTCGAGACCATCCTGGCTAATATGGTGAAACCCCATCTCTACTAAAACTACAAAAAATTAGCCAGGCATGGTGGCACGCACCTGTAGTTCCAGCTACTTGGGAGGCTGAGGCAGGAGAATCACTTGAACCCGGGAGGTGGAGGTTGCAGTGAGCCAAGATCGCACCACTGCACTCCAGCCTGAGCGACAGAGCGAGACTCCGTATCAAAAAAAAAAAAAAGCGACTATGTATGAAATACCCAGCACAGTGCCCTTCCCTTACCCATCATGACCCCCACACCCACAGTGTGGCCATCCTGCTCTACCTGACGCGCAAATATAAGGTCCCTGACTACTGGTACCCTCAGGACCTGCAGGCCCGTGCCCGTGTGGATGAGTACCTGGCATGGCAGCACACGACTCTGCGGAGAAGCTGCCTCCGGGCCTTGTGGCATAAGGTGAGGCTGGGAATGTGGGGGGCGGCAGCGAGAGCATTCCCCAAAGGTGTTCAGGCACCAGTCTCTTCTTTTCAGTTTTGGATTATTTCTACTGACCTGTCTTTGCCTTCACAGATTCTTTCCTCTGTTGTGCCAAATTGCTATTAAGCCCATCCAATACATTCTTTGTTTGAGATATGTATTTTTCAGCTCTGGAAATTCCATTTGGTTGTTTTTTAGAATTTCCACTTCTCTGATGAAATTCACCATCTGTTCATCCATTTTATCTGTCTTTTCTTGTAAATTCTTTAACATATTTATCACTGTTACCTAAAAATCTTTGTCAACTAATTTCAACACGTAGGTGTTCTGTGGGTCTGGTTTTTTTGTTTTGTTTTGTTTTTGAGATGGGGTCTCACTCTGTCACCCAGGCTGAGTGCAATGGTGCGATCTCAGCTCACTGCAACCTCCACCTCCCAGGCTCAAGCGATTCTCCTGCCTCAGCCTCCTGCGTAGCTGGGATTACAGGCACCCACCAGCACACCTGGCTAACTTTTGTTATTTGTAGTGGAGACCGGGTTTCACCATGTTGGCCAGGCTGGTTTCGAACTCTCCACCTGAAGTGATTCGTCCTCCTTGGCTTCCCAAAGTGTTGGGATTACAGGCATGAGCCACCATACCCAGCCTACGGGTCTATTTCTATTGATTGTTGTTTTCTCCCTCTTGATTATGGGTCACATTTGCCTGCTTCTTTGCATGTCTCATGATGTATTATCATTATTTTTTATTTTTTTGAGACGGACTCTCACTCCATTGCCCAGGCTGGCGTGCAATGGCACGATCTTGGCTCACTGCAACCTCCGCCTCCTGGGTTCAAGCGATTCTCCCACCTCAGCCTCCCAAGTAGCTAGAATTACAGGCACCTGCCATCATGCCTGGCTAATTTTTGTATTTTTGTAGAGACAGGGTTTCACCATGTTGGCCAGGCTGGTCTTGAACTCCTGACCTCAGGTGATCCTCCCATCTCGGCCTCCCAAAGTGCTGGGATTGTAGGCATGAGCCACCATGCCCGGCCTCATGATGTATCCTTGTGTGCCAGACATTATGATAAAAGAAGAGCAGAGATTGAATTGCATAATAAACACCCCCAAGAAAGGGCTTGCACTTCCCTGTGTCAGGTAGCCAGGATGTGAGGCTGTTCTCTTCTAAGCTAATCAGGAGGTGGGCTGGGTTGCAGGTTTAGTTGGTTTCAGTTTATCTTTGGTTTCAAATATCTTGAATGTGAGATCAGGTCACTAGCTCAGTCTAGCATGGCTTTGGAATCTAATCACCAACTACGATGTTGCCTGTAAGATCTCTCTGCTTTTCATCCCTGCCCCCAGTTCCCAAACTGCTGCTCAGTCAGAAAAGCCCATGCCTGTGACAGTCTTTCTCCCAGCCTGCTTGGGCCCAAGGAAATGAAATTGGAATGAAAGTAGCTCATCTAGGAACGGCTTATGCCTCTCTGGAATTTAGTTCATTTAGTCAAGTGCTGTCCGATAGAAGTATAAAGTGAGCCACATACGTAATTTTAAATTTTCTAGTAGGCACATTTAAAAAGTAAAAAGAGTCCAGGCACAGTGGCTCATGCCAATAATCCTAGCACTTTGGGAGGCCAAGGCAGTGGATCACCTGAGGTCAGGAGTTCGAGACCAGCCTGGTCAACATGGGGAAACCTTGTCTCTACTAAAACCACAAAAATTAGCCAGGCTTGGTGGCCTGTGCCTATAATCCCAGCTACTCAGGATGCTGAGGCAGGAGAATTGCTTGAACCCAGGGGGCAAAGTTGGCAGTGTGCCGAGATGGTGCCACTTCACTCCAGCCTGGGTGACAGAGCTGAACACTGTCTCAAAAGAAAAAAAAAAAGTAAAAGGAAATTGATATATTTTACTTAACCCAATGTGTTGAGAATATTATCATTTTGGCCAACAAGTACAAGAAAAGATGCTTGGCCGGGCGCGGTGGCTCACGCCTGTAATCCCAGCACTTTGGGAGGCGGAGGCAGGCAGATCACAAGGTCAGGAGATTGAGACCATCCTGGCTAACACAGTGAAACCCTGTCTCTACTAAAAATAAAAAAAAAATTAGCTGGGCGTGGTGGCGGGCACCTGTAGTCCCAGCTACTCGGGAGGCTGAGGCAGGAGAATGGCGTGAACCCAGGAGGCGGAGCTTGCAGTGAGCCGAGATCACCCCACTGCACTCCAGCCTGGGCGAGAGAGCAAGACTCAGTCTCAAAAAAAAAAAAAAAAGAAAAGATGCTCAGCATCACTAATCATTAGGGAAATGCAAATCAAAACTAACTCCCTACTCCAGTAACTCCCGACTTTGCCTGCCCAATCCCCAGGTGATGTTCCCTGTTTTCCTGGGTGAGCCAGTATCTCCCCAGACACTGGCAGCCACCCTGGCAGAGTTGGATGTGACCCTGCAGTTGCTCGAGGACAAGTTCCTCCAGAACAAGGCCTTCCTTACTGGTCCTCACATCTCCTTAGCTGACCTCGTAGCCATCACGGAGCTGATGCATGTGAGTGCTGTGGGCAGGTGAACCCACTAGGCAGGGGGCCCTGGCTAGTTGCTGAAGTCCTGCTTATGCTGCCACACCGGGCTATGGCACTGTGCTTAAGTGTGTGTGCAAACACCTCCTGGAGATCTGTGGTCCCCAAATCAGATGCTGCCCATCCCTGCCCTCACAACCATCCATCCCCAGTCTGTACCCTTTTCCCCACAGCCCGTGGGTGCTGGCTGCCAAGTCTTCGAAGGCCGACCCAAGCTGGCCACATGGCGGCAGCGCGTGGAGGCAGCAGTGGGGGAGGACCTCTTCCAGGAGGCCCATGAGGTCATTCTGAAGGCCAAGGACTTCCCACCTGCAGACCCCACCATAAAGCAGAAGCTGATGCCCTGGGTGCTGGCCATGATCCGGTGAGCTGGGAAACCTCACCCTTGCACCGTCCTCAGCAGTCCACAAAGCATTTTCATTTCTAATGGCCCATGGGAGCCAGGCCCAGAAAGCAGGAATGGCTTGCCTAAGACTTGCCCAAGTCCCAGAGCACCTCACCTCCCGAAGCCACCATCCCCACCCTGTCTTCCACAGCCGCCTGAAAGCCACAATGAGAATGATGCACACTGAGGCCTTGTGTCCTTTAATCACTGCATTTCATTTTGATTTTGGATAATAAACCTGGGCTCAGCCTGAGCCTCTGCTTCTAACTCTAATGTGTGATTTATTTGACTTTCCTCTGTCCCAGACCTGGTCATGGTCTCTATGCAAAAGACAACCCCCTTCCCAGGCCGTGTGGGTCAGCTTCCCCCTGATGTTTGCCAAGAGTGAAATTAATAAATGTGGCTGAGGCCGCGTGCGGTGGCTCACGCTTGTAATCCCAGCACTTTGGGAGGCCGGGGCAGGGGGATCACGAGGTCAGGAGATCGAGACCATCCTGGCTAACACGGTGAAACCCCGTCTCTACTAAAAATACAAAAAATTAGCCGGGCGTGGTGGTGGGTGCCTGTAGTCCCAGCTACTCGGGAGGCTGAGGCAGGAGAATGGCATGAACCCAGGAGGCGGACCTTGCAATGAGCCGAGATCGCGCCACTGCACTCCAGCCTGGGCAACCGAGCGAGACTCCATCTCAAAAAAAAAAAAAGTGGCTGAGTGTGGTAGCTCATACTTATAATCCTAGTACTTTGGGAGGTCCAGGTTGGGGGGATTGCTTGAGTCCAGGATTTCAAAACAAACTTTTTTTTTTTTTTTTTTGAGATAGTGTCTTGCTCTGTTGCCCAGGCTGGAGTGCAATGGCATGATCACAGCTCACTGCAACCTCCACCTCCCAGGTTCAAGCGATTCTCTTGCCTCAGTCTCCCCAGAAGCTGGGATTATAGGCACGCACTATCACACCTGGCTAATTTTTGTGTTTTTAGTAGAAACAGGGTTTCACCGTGTTGTCCAGGCTGGTGTCAAACTCTGTACCTCAAATGATCTGTGCACCTCCACCTCTGAAAGTGCTGGGATTACCATGAGCCACTGTGCCTGGCTCCCCAAAAAAATATTTTTTCAGAGATGGGGTCTCACTCTGTTGCCCAGCCTGGAGTGCAGTGGCACAGTCATGGCTCACTGCAGCCTTGACATCCCAGGCTCAAGCAATATTCCCACCTCAGCCTCCTAAGAAGCTGGGACAACAGGTGCACCCCACCACGCCCAGCTCATTTCTTTTTTATTTTTGTAGAGACAGGGTCTTGCCATGTTGCCCAGGCTAGCCCTGCACTCCTGTGCTCAAGAGATGCTCCCACCTCTACCTCCCAAAGTGCTGGGATTACGGGTGCCAAGACACCACACGCAACCAAAAGAAATTTTTTTTTTAATTAGTCAGGCGTGGTGATGCATACCTGTAGTTCTAGCTACTTGGGAGGCTGAGGTGGGAGGATTGCTTGAGCCCAGGAGTTCGAGGCTGCAGTGAGCTCTGATTGAGCCATAGCACTCCAGCCTGGGGCAACAGAACAAGATCCTGTCTCTAAAAACACACAAAGAAACCCAAAACAAAACAAAACAAAACATTTCCTGTAGCCTTCTAATTATCAGAGAAAGTAGTTTATCTGACCGCTCAGGGCCCAGCAGCATCCCACATTTCTTGGCTATAAGCATGGTGACCTAACAGTCGGCTGAGTTAGCCTCCCAGGACATGACCCTTACTGGTTTTTGGATTGTGTGTGTGTGTGTTTTTTTTTTTTGTTTGTTTGTTTGTTTTTTTGAGAAGGAGTTTTGCTCTTTTTGCCCAGGCTGGAGTTCAGTGGCAAAATCTCAGCTCACCACAACCTCCGCCTCCCGGGTTAAAGTGATTCTCCTGCCTCAGCCTTCTGAGTAGCTGGGATTACAGGCATGCACCACCACGCCCAGCTAATTTTGTATTTGTAGTAGAGACAGGGTTTCTCCATGTTGGTCAGGCTGGTCTCGAACTCCCAACCACAGGTGATCTGCCTGCCTCGGCCTCCCAAAGTGCTGGAATTACAGGCATAAGCCACTGCGTTGGGACGACTCTTACTGTTTTTGTTTTGTTTTCTTTTGCTTGTTTTTTGGTATTTTTTTGAGACAGTCTCGCTTTGTCGCCCCGGCTGGTGTGCAGTAGCGCAATTTCGGCTCACTGCAAGCTCCGCCTCCCGGGTTCACGCCATTCTCCTGCCTCAGCCTCCCGAGTAGCGGGGACTACAGGCGCCCACCACGTCCGGCTAGTTTTTTGTATTTTTAGTAGAGACGGAGTTTCACCGTGTTAGTCAGGATGGTCTCGATCTCCTGACCTCATAATCCGCCCGCCTCGGCCTCCCAAAGTGCTGGGATTACAGGCGTGAGCCACCGCGCCCTGCCTGACTCTTACTGTTAATCACTAGTTTTGCATTTCTCTTGAGGAACTGGTCAGGAAGAGAAAACCTAGACAGCAGCTCTCCTGGTCAAGACCCAGTCATTCAGAAGCCTAAATGGCCTGCCTAGGTGTTTGGCTTTAAACTGTTAGCAGGAATGGAGTACTCTGATTGTGTTTTAGAATAATATTCCGGGCCTACTACCCCTGCGCACCGGTCCTGGCCCAGGGCTAGCTCCTTGGTGAGAAACTCAAAGAAGTGGGCACTGTGGCTGCGGTTGTCCTCGGCGGTGCCCACTACGCCGATGGAGGAGATGGACAGCTGCGCGCAGGGCTCGGTGGACCCGCTCAGCGCCCTGGCCAGGCCCGGCCGTACCGTCACGTTCACAAGCTGAGGGGAACATGAAAAGTTTTACCCGAAGCTGGAGCCAGTCGGGCTACGTCTGGGGTCCCGACCCGAGCGCGCGAAAGCCGAAACGCGCAGTGTTCGCGGGGACAGGGATCCCAGTACAGGCCGAGGTCCCTGAAGGTCACGTCCGGGTCATGACTGGGGAGGGCGACAAGGGAAAGACGTGCGGAGGGGGAGCCGCGGGATCGTGAAGCACGGAAAGTCAGAGCTTGGCCTGCGGAATGGGGTGGGGGGTGGTCCCTGGGGAAAGGGATCGGGGTCGCTGTTGCGGAGGCAGAGCAGGGACAAGGCCGGACCCCTGGCCCACCAACTTCCCCTCGCCCAGTGCTGCCCGGCCCACGCTCACGTCTGCAGGTTTGCCCAAGATGGAGGCAGCGACGGCGCACAGCCGTTTCTCCAGCCCCGCGGGCACTCGGTTGGCGGGGAAATTCGTGTGCAGCTCTAGGAACGGCATGGCGGGCAGAGGAACGGAAACAGCTCTGGCGGAAAAAAGCTGGAGATACCCAAGGCTCGCGGACCGGAGAGGAGGGGCGAGGCGCTAAAACAACCTGGCTTCTCATTGGCTGGACAGAGACTCAGCGCTCCCCGATTGGCTGCCTAGGGTACCTTCCCACTTCTGCAAACAAAAGTCACGTGTGCCGGCTCTGATTTCCGGAAATCCGGTCGTCTCGGCCCTACGTGTAGCCCCACCCACTACAAGTCTTTAACCCGGTAGTGGCCCCACCCTGTCTCTTCCCTGACCCTCCTGCTTGGCGTCTGGTGGATTTCCCTCTCCTCAAGCTTTCCGCGGTGTGGTTGCCTGGTTTCTAGCCCTATTAAAGGTCTGAACACCCCTAACATACAGACACACACACACCTGTAGGGGTCTTCCCCAAGTTCGACCCTAATAACCAATGCAAAGTGAGTTTAAAATTTTTTTTAATGATTTGCCACCATTTCGAAGTCAGGCAATTTCATGTTCAGTATGGAAATCTGCGCTTCTCTTGGGCAGTCAGGAGATGTGGTTACACGTTGCGGACGCGGGTGGGGCTGGGCAGGGACCGTTGGGTTCACGACATTTCCCGTCCCCGCCTGGTTCCCATTGACTGCCTATGTAGCCCCTTGTGCCGGTGGTGAGCCACTGTCCACTAGGGGGTGGCAAAATATGTTATTTAAAACATGGAAATCCGTTGGTGTGGCTTAAACATGAGTCTGTGGTTAGTGTGGCAAAATCACTTGAATTGTACATTTTAAATATGATTGAAATTGTGGTCACGCAAAGTGGCTGACACCTGTAATCTCAGCTCTTTGGGAGGCCAAGAAGGGAGGATTGCTTGAGCCCAGGAGTTCAAGACCAGGCTAGGCAACATAGCAAGATTCCCTTCGTTGTTTTCTACAAAAAAAAAGAAAAAAAAAAAGAATCCCAGTGTTGTGGTGTGCACCTGTAGTTCTAGCTACCTGGGCGGAGGCAGGAGGATCGCTTGAGCCCAGGAGATCTAGAATGCAGTGAGCTATGACTCATTTTTTTCCTGTCTCTTGTCTGATGGGTTTCTCTTATTTTTCTTTGTTTGCTTTTGAGACAGTCTCGCTCTAAGTGGAGCTTGAGTGCAGTGGTATGATGTCAGCTCACTGCAACCTCCGCCTCCCAGGTTCAAGTGATTCTCCTGTCTCAGTCTCCTGAGTGTGCCACCGCACCCAACTAATTTTTGTATTTTTAATATAGATGGGGTTTCATCATGTTGCCCAGGGTGGTCTCAAACTCCTGACCTCAAGTGATCTGCCCACCTTGGCCTCCCAAAATGCTGGGATTACAGGGGTGAGCCACCATACCAGGCCTCTCTTAAGGGTTTCTAAGAGCATCTTAAAGAACATTACCTCCTTCTGACATATCTTTTATCAAGATCCTTCCCGGTTTTTTGCTTGTTTTATGTTTAATCCATTTTTTCTTACACAACATGTCCTTGTATATGTTTTTTTGTTTGTTTGTTTTTTGAGACAGAGTTTTGCTCTTGTTGCCAAGGCTGGAGTTCAATGGCGTGATCTCAGCTGACTGCAATCTCTGCCTCCCAGATTCAAGCAATTCTCCTGACTCAGCCTCCCGAGTAGCTGGGATTACAGGCATGCGCCACCATACCCGGCTAATTTTGCATTTTTGGTAGAGACGGGGTTTCTCCATGTTGGTCACGCTGGTCTCAAACTCCCAATCTCAGGTGATCTGCCTGCCTCGGCCTCCCAAAGTGCTGGGATTACAGGTGTGCTCATTACAGATGCTACCGCAGCTGGCATGTAGTGGTTATTTCTTTGTTGAGTTCTCCCACTGTTCTGAGGGTTAGAAAGTCCTTTCATACCGAGACATCAGACAAACGTTTATTGAAATGTCTCCTCACTTCTTCCTAGTTTGACTTTTTTCACTTCATACTTCTCCATCTACGAATTATGTGTGTAGCAAAGTGAGGGTTTGTTTATTTTCTCCCCCTAAAGGCAAGATTCCCAGGCAACCTGGAGTATGCAAAAGAGCATAGGATTAACTGCTCATAGCTCTGGAATTAAGGCATATTAGGGGAATCCTTCCTTGGCTCTGGTCCTTGGTTTCCCTCCTAGGAAACAAGTTGGGTGAATTAGGCAGTCTCTGGCATTCCAGGATTTGGTCTCAGGTCTAAACAGGATTTTGTAAAGTGAAAGCAGCATCCCTTGGCATCTTGGGAGATGTCCCTGCCCTCCATGGCTCGCCTTCTGCCACATGGCCCAGCAGCAGCTACTCTGCAGGGCCATGTGCTGCCATGACAGGTACTCATCCCCACGGGCGCGGGCCTGCAGGTCCTGGGGGTACCAGTGGTCAGGTGCTTTGTACATGCAGTTCATACACAGCAAGCTAGCCACACTGGGGGGACATGGCAGGGGCAGAAAACATGCCCTGAACACTCTTCAGCCATTTTCTGGGGCATTTTCACTATCCCCATGATGCAGAGGAGGGATGTGAGGCTCAGAGAGGTTAGGTAAGTGCCCAGGGTCACACAGCCCTACACGGGGCCAGACTATCATCTCAACTAAGGGCAGCAAGTAAGAAACAAAATGTCATGAACTTCAGCAGGGGCTCAGGGAAGGCTTCCAGGAGGAAGGGGCATCCACTGTGAGTCTGAAGAACGAGAGCATGTTGGATATCTCCCCAACATATCCAAAGCGTGGACAGGGCCAGGAGCAAGGCCAGCAGGGAGAGAGCCTTCCAGGTGACATGGCAGCATTGCTCCCCACCCTGTCCCATCTCCTGTTCACCTATGGTGAAGGGTTGTGCAGTCTGACCCCCAGAGCTCATCATGCCTCTATGGGTGTTGGACCATCCAGTGATCCCAGGCTCTGAATGTGAATCCAGCTCCACCAAGGAGGCACTATTTGGCCTCGGTAAAGGACGCCACCATGCAGCCACCAACCTAGAGGCTGGTTTTGGCTTTCATTTTTCCCACCCACCTCCAACCCTTCAGCAAACCCTGCAGTTAGATTTCAATAAAAGTCAGAACTGACCACAATCCCCACCAACCCTGCACCACCACCACCTTGGTCTGGGGCTCCAGCGCTGCATGCCAGATGACTGCAGTGGCTTTCTCACCCCTGCCAGGGGGATCCTTTATGACGTAAGTCAGATCACAGTTCTCCTCTGCTCAAAACCCTCCAGCGACTCAATCTACCTGTGGTAAGAGCCAAAGCCTTCCCAGTGTCCCATGCTCCCCTCTGTCATGACCTCCTGCTCTTCCTGCTCACTGCACCCACCCTGGCCCGTTGCTCTCCAGTCTGAACCCCATGCATTGTCCCACCTGGAGCCTTCGCCCTCACTCTTCCCTCCAGTGAGAACACCCTTCCCCTCATGCCTTGCACATTCCTACAGCTCTCTGCTCAGATGCCACCTCCTCCAGGGAGTCTTCCCTCAACATCCTACTCATAATGACACACACCCCCACTCTTACCCTGTTTATTTTTTCCATGGCATCCATCAACATCCGATATGTTCCATGTTTACATGGGTTACTGTCAGCTCCCCCTTCTATTAATGGAATGTGAGCTCCATGAGGAGAAGGACGTAGACACGTTCACTGCTCAAGCCCCAGGGCTTAAATGGGGTCTGGCCCTGGTGGATGTTTAGCAAATAGCCACTGAAGCTCGCTGAGTGGTCCCTCGACTCTCCAGGGAAACAGCACTTGCCCCACAGGATTTGTGGGCAAAATGGTAGCACTAAGATGCCTGGTACAGCCGCTCCTCGAAACTTAGCACTCTCTTTTTTTCGGAGGGGAAGACTGGCGGTGAGGAGGCCCGGAAGCAGACTGGGCCCTGTGGCCTTGTGCAAGTCCCTCCCCTCCTCCAGCCTCAGTTTCCTCACTTGTACAATGCAGGAGGGGACTTCTATAGCCCTTGTCAACACTGGGCACCTCTGCCTGCCTCCACCCATTCTTCACCCTGGGGCTGGTGCAGGGCCCACAGTCCATGATCCAAGCCATCAGCAGTAAACAGACAGCTGACTGACTGGCCCCACAAGGCCCGGCAGCAGCCCAGGGACCGGTTACCTCTCAGCCAAGGTGAAGTCCCCATCCTTCAAGGCCTGGCACCTTCCTCAGGGCATTCACCTGGGCAAAGGCATCACTGTGCTGCTGGCCTGCAGGCGAGATCAGAGAGGTGAGTGGGGAGAACCCTGAGTTCTCTGATGTCTCTGCCCACCCCCACTCCAAACTCCCAGCAGCAGCTTTCTGAGGCCCCTATCTGGGAGGCATCAGGGAAGAGGAAGCCTCTCTGTTAGTCACTGGGTCACAGACCCTGACCCTATCAGAGGGCCACCTTTCCTGTGTCCAGTTCCTTGAAGCATGGCTCAAGGACAATTCCCTGGAGCTGTAATTCACACCCCACCCCCAGCCAGTTCCATCCATAGGTCAGACCCCTCCAGCCTCCTCCCTGGGCTCTAGGCTTGCCCCCTCTGATTCAGCTTCCTATCCCAGCTGGGGCCTTAGGCCCTACTGGCCAGGCTGGGTGACCTGTCAATACCCCAGAGTCCCAGCCAAACATGTTCCCAACCCTCAGACCAACCTCATTCTTGCTGGGAATCCCTGCCCCATTCAGCCACTCAGCCCCCGGTGGCTCAGCTCTTCTTCCTTTCTTGTGCCAAACTCTCAAGGCTCCCTCCCCACTGGGGGTTCCCAGGTCTGACTCACTTTAGCACTCTAGGCCAGTGCTAGAGGCCGCATTAGGTGCCTGGTGTTTGGATCAGAGGGCATCAGTCAAGCCAGGCTCCAGTCTGATCATAGGCCTACATGTGGGCCTCTCTGGCCTTCTACTGAATGGACATGCACACCCCTGCCCATTCTCCCTCCACAGACTGCTTCTGTGTCCAGCCCCTGTTCTGTAGCAGGTGACTCAAGCTGGTTGTACCAAGGGCAGCAGTTGGGAAGAGTCAGCTGAGCAGGTTCCTCCTTCTGGCCTGCCCAGGGGGCTCTGGCTCTGCTCTCTGCCCTACTGCTTAGTTATAGCCCTGCCTCCTCCACTGAATTGTGCTCCAGCTGCATCTCTGTATGCCAGCCAGACCAGCAAACGCTGGAGCTCAGGGTGAGGGTGCTGGCCTCCCCCACTGCCCTGCCACAGGGCCCTCCAGCCTCTAGCCTCTAGGAGCAGCCCCTTCAGCTGGGTGAGAAGCCCCATGGGATAGAGCAAGTCAGATGCAGGAAAAGAAAAGGCAGAAGAATGCCAAGAAATACATAAAAGTGGAAGAGACCCAGGGCCAGACATGGTAGTGCATGTCTGTAATCTCAACACTTTAGAAGGAGGAGGCAGGAGGATCACTTGAGCTCTGGAGTTCAAGGTCAGCCTGGTCTACATGGCAAAATCCCGTCTCCACAAATACCAAAAAAAAAAAAAAAAAGGAAAAAAAAGAAATTGCTGGATGTGGTTGCGTGCCTGTGGTCCCAACTACTCTACTTGAGAGGAGGAAGTGGGAGGATCACTTGAGCCTGAGAGGTCAAGGCTGCAGTGAGCCGGGATCATGCCACTGCCCTCTACCTGGGCTGCAGAGTGAGACCGTGTCAAAAAAAGAAGAGGCAAGAAGGGAAGAGACCCAGGCAGAGGTAAACAAGGACTACTCCACTTAGGAAACAAGGAGGTAGTTTCATTGTTTTTTCCAAGCACATGGGGTGAAGATATTCTAGCCCCACTCCATTTCCCTGCCCTCCTGCTGCATCTGCTCTGCCCCCTCTTAACCTGTATTTTGAAGAATGCTTTGTATTCACTAAGCAAAGATGAAGCCTCTTTTAAAATAAACAACCAGCAGGGCATGACAGCTGATGCCTGTAATCCCAGCACTTTGGGAGGCCAAGGAAAGAGGATCGCCTGAGCTCAGGAGTTTGAGACCTGCCTGGGCAACACAGGAAGACCTCCTCTCAATAGTAATAATAATAATAATAATAATAATAAATTGGCCGGGCATATCGGTGGGCATCTGTAGTCCCAGCTACTTGAGGGGCTGAGATGGGAGGATCGCTTGAGCCTGGAAGGTCGAGGCTGCAGTGAGCCATGATTGTGCCACTGCACTCCAGCCTGAGTGACAGAGTTAGCTCCTGTCTCCAAAAAGTAAAAATAATAACATAGATAATTACGTAATAGTTTCCACACCAGAGAGTCTGATTCTTCATGTTAGTCTGCATTCTCGGCCCGACTGCAAAGCAGTGGGGACAGGTGGGGATCCGCAGCCAATATCCCCTGGGCCTGCCTGCCCAGCCCAGCTTTGGTCAGCTCCACTTTGCGAAGCTCGAAGGGGATGCCGTTCTTGGTGAAGATGTAGACTGAACGGCAGGGCTGGGACAGCAGGTCCAGGTACAGCTCCAGACCCATGGCGAGGGCGATGGGGTGGGGCGAGGGAGGGTAGACCTAAACCCAGGGGACGGGCCCTGGGGACAAACCCGGGGACAGGCCCGGGAACAGGAACTGTGGGCAGGAACGGCTGGTTGGGGGCAGCGGGCAGGAACGGCTGGGTCACCAAGCCTGCAGTGGTGCACCTCACTAGGAGACTGGAGCCCAGCCACGCCCTCCTTGCTCAAAGGTTGGCTCCGGAGAACTTTGGGCCAATCAATGGCGCGTCTGCTCTCGCCTTTCTGGGATCCTCGGCTGGGGGTATCTTTCTCTCTAAAAGGGAAGAGGAGAAAGGAGGTGCAGCAGCCTTCTTACCCAGTGCCTGGCTCAGTGCCCAGGATGGAGGCCAGAGGGGAAGGGTGGCTGGCTGCCTGCAAGGCTGCCAGCCCCACACCTCATGAAGGAATGAGCTGTTTCTCCCCAGTCCTGAGGGTCATATTTATTACACTCCAGCTAATGCCTCCCACAGATGGCTAAGGCCCTGTAAGCCCTACCCAGAGGTTTCCAACAGTGCCTGGCATTGCACAGAACTTTCTACCCACTATTCAAGTGCAACTCTAGGGCTTTTGATGCCTGTGGCTGTGACACTCCCATTTCCCAAGGGAGCCTCCCAAGGCAGGAAAATCCTATTCCCAAATCCAAGATTCAGAGAAAGACCATTGGCAAGAGGATGGTTACTGGAAAACTTGAGAATAGCTTTGCTTCTCTGGTTCCCCATGGTTCCCACCTGTCGCCTTTTTTGAGATAAGAGTCTCACTTTGTTGCGCAGGCTGGAGTGCAGTGGGATGATCATGGCTCAGTGTAGCCTTGACCTCCAGGGCTCAAGTGATCAAGTGATCATCTCACCTCAGCCTCCCAAGTAGCTGGGACCACAGGCATCACATCTGGCTAGTTTTTAAATTGTCTTTTTTTTTTTTTTTGAGACAGGGTCTCACTATGTTGCCCAGGCTGGTCTCCAACTCCTGGGCTCAAGTGGTCTTCCTGCCTCAGACTCCTGAAGTGTTGAGATTACAGGCATGAGCCACTGCACCCAATCCCATGGTCCCCATTTAAGACCTATCCCCCCGCAGAAGAGTGCCTTCCTGGCCTAGTGCTGCAGCTCTCTCCAGACTGAGAGGGGCCACATTCTCCTGCCCCTTCAGTTGCCCACCCCTTTTCACAAGTCGCCTTTGGCCAGGATTACTGCAGTATCCAATGTCCTTGCTTCCTCCCTGGCTGCCTTCCAGCAGCAGCCAGAATATTATTCTTTTTTTTTTTTTTTTTTTTTTTGAGATGGAGTCTCGCTCTGTTGCCCAGGCTGGAATGAGTGGCGCAATCTCGGCTCACTGCAAGCTCCGACTCCTGGGTTTACGCCATTCTCCTGCCTCAGCCTCCCGAGTAGCTGGGACGACAGGCGCCCACCACCACGCCCGGCTAATTTTTTCTATTTTTAGTAGAGACGGGGTTTCACCATCTTAGCCAGGATGGTCTCAATCTCCTGACCTCGTGATCCGCCTGCCTCCGCCTCCCAAAGTGCTGGGATTACAGGCGTGAGCCACCGTGCCCAGCCCAGAATATTATTCTAAAACACAATCAGAGCACTCCATACCTGCTAACAGTTTAAAGCCAAGCACCTAGGCATGCCATTTAGGCTTCTGAATGACTGGGTCTTGACCAGGAGAGCTGCTGTCTAGGTTTTCTCCTCCTGACTAGTTCCTCAAGAGAAATGCAAAACTAGTGATTAACAGTAAGAGTCAGGCCGGGCGTGGGCCGGCCTCTCTGGTGTTGCTGGAAATCCTTGGTATTCCTTGACTTGTAGACTTGTTTTAAAATGTACCTGGGATTTTGGCTTTATTCAGGTATGGCGAGGCCACAGATCAGAGGTGATAGCCATGTAAAAGAAAGTTTGTTACTCACAGTTCCCAAGACAATAGGGGGGACATGCCACACCATGCAGGGCCATGGGGAAGCACCAGGGTCAGTCAGGTGGCAGAATGAGTGAGGGCAAAAGGTGGACAAAAGGCTTTACTGTGTTTTTTGCAAGAAGGCAAGACAGGGTAAACAGACTTAGGACTGGCTAGTTTTAATAATTGTGATGGGCTCTGGGTTATAGGAGTGGTCCTTTGTTACCTGGTACCTGTCCCTGGAGTGATTTGGGGCAGGAACCTGCTGAAAGGTGGCTGGTAAAGTTATGTTGGAGATACGAATCGGTTGATTGGCCCATCGAAGGCACACCATAAGCAAATCATTTATTCTCTGTAGGAATTAGCTGGCCCAGGGAGGGGCAGTCTCTCCTGGATCAGTAAGGCCTCAAGATGTCAAAGCAATCTGGGCATGGTGGCTGAGGCCTCTAATCCCAGCACTTTGAAAGTCTGAGGAGGGAGGATCACTTGAGCCCAGAAGTTCGAGGCCAGCCTGGGCAGCATAGTGAGACTGTCTCTACAAAAAGTTTAAAAATTAGTAGGGCATAGTAGTAGTTCCAGCTACTCTGGGGGCTGAGGTGGGAGGATCACTTGAGCCCAGGAGGCTGGGGATGCAGCAAGCCATGATCGCACCACTGCACTCCAGCCTGCACTCAACAAAGTGAGATTCTGTCTCAAAACAACAACAGCAACCACAACAAAAGAAGTTAATAGCTTAGCTTCTGCTGTATTCCAAAATTGTTGCACCCTGGACACACTGACAGCCTCAAAAGGAGGAGTTTGTGTGATCATTGGTGGATAAGGCTGGTCTGTGTAAATCCACTGGGACAAATAGTGCCTAAGCTGCACCTGTTAAAGAACAAGCTAAACACTCTCCATCAAACAAAAGAGGTGCATTCCTTCTGCTGTACTGACCTTGTCCCAGCAATGGGATGTGTGTTTAACAGGATAAGGGGAAATGTGCTCAGACCTGTTCCTTTCAGCTTATTCATTCCTATTCTTATCTATGTTCTTCTCCCCATTTGTAGATCCCTCGTTATGAATCTGGCTCTTATCTCCATAGCCACCAACTCAGCTTTTAATATCTGAAACTTCTAGGAAAGTCTGCAGCAGGGGAAATGAAGGAATTAAAAACACGTCACCCCAAATATGCTGCTTTGGAGTATTAATTATTTTGAGTTGAAGGCACTTGAGAAATAGCACATGCAGGAAAGACTCTCTGACCTGCCCTTTTCTATCTAAGAATAGGCCACACAATTTCCCATAAGAAAGCACCCTCCCTTTACCAGGAAGAGAAGAACATTGTCATCACAAGTGACTGTGAATCAAGGTTCCAATGGATCTGTATAAACACACGACTAAAAATAATCCTTATCTTCTAATTTTGCTCCGCATGTATGTCCTAGTCCCTTCTCCACAATTTACTCCCTATAATCCAAGCCGCTTTGTCTTGTCATTTTTTTTTTTTGAGGCAGAGTCTTGCTCTGTCACCCAGGCTGGAGTGCAGTGGTGCGATCTCCGCTCACTGCAAGCTCCGCCTCCAGGATTCATGCCATTCTCCTGCCTCAGCCTCCTGAGTAGCTGGGACTACAGGTGCCCGCCACCGCACCTGGCTAATTTTTTTGTATTTTTAGTAGAGATGGGGTTTCACCATGTTGGCCAGGATGGTCTCAATCTCCTGACCTTGTGATCTGCCCGCCTTGGCCTCCCAAAGTGCTGGGATTATAGGCATGAGCCACCGCACCCGTCCTTGTCTTAAAAAAAAAAAAAAAAAAGGTATTGTTTTTCTACTTTAGTGACTTCTTTAGGCCTTCATTCTCTTGTGAAAGTACCCATGTACACTGAAAATTTAGCAAAACTTGAATGATTTTCTTCTGTTAATCTGTCTTATTTCAGTTTTATTCTTAGTTCCAGATCTCCAGAGACCCTAAGAATGTAGAGGAGAATTTTTTTCCTCCCCAATAATAGCATGGCATACAGCATAGATCCCTGCTTGTTTAGGTGAACTTTAATCGCTTTCAAAAACTTTCTATGACATTCTTCATAAAGATCATGCAGGCCAGGCGAGGTAGCTCATGCCTGTAGTCCCAGCTACTTGGGAGGCTGAGGTGGGAGGATCACTTGAGCCCAGGAGGTCGAGGCTGCAGTGAGCCACAATCGTGCCACTGTACTTCAGCCTGGATGACGGAGCAAGATCCTGTCTGTAAGTGTTTTCTTTTTTAAGTAATGCATGTTTCAGCTCAGACTTATTCCATGGTGAGATATATATATTATATGTGTGTATGTATATATGTACATATGTATGATTGCAAATGATATCTGTTGCATTTTACATATTGAAGGAAGTATCTTCTTGAAAATATTATAAATTTGTGTCAATGTTGCTACTGCTCAAAACCCATTTCAGAATTGGTAATCTACTTACATTCAAAATGAGTGGGGTGGCCGGGCGTGGTGGCTCATGCCTGTAGTCCCAACACTTTAGGAGGCTGAGGTGGGCAGGTCACTTGAGCCAGGAGTCTGAGACCAGCCTGGCCAACATGGCAAAACCCCGTCTCTACTAAAAATACAAAAATTAGCAGGGCATGGTGGCGCATGCCTGTAATCCCAACTACTCGGGAGGCTGAGGTACAAACTTGGGAGGCAGAGGTAGCAGTGAGCCAAGATCACACCACTACACTCCAGCCTGAGCAACAGAGCAAGACTCTGTCTCAGAACAAACTAACCAAAAAAACCAAACCAAACAAAAAAATACAACATAAAGGAGTCACCCAGAAGGAGGGTGATGCGAAGACACATAGGGGAATGCCAGAACAGAGGCAAAGATTGTAGTGATGGGTGTTAGATTAATCATGGTCTTTATGTCCTGTACTTTATCATGCTTTGACATTTTTTAAGTTTATTTTACATTTTTGTAGAGACAGGGTCTCACTCTGCCAGGCTGGAGTGCAGTGGCACAATCTCGGCTCACTGCAACCTCTGCCTCCTGGGCTCCAGTGATCCTCCCACTTCAGCCTCCCGAGCAGATGGGACTAACAGACACGTGCCAATGCCTAGCTAAATTTTTTTGAATTTTTGGTAAAGACGGGGTTTCATCATGTTGCCCAGGCTGGTCTCAAACTCCTGGGCTCAAGCAATCTGCCTTCCTTGACCTCCCAAAGTATTGGGATTACAGGTATGAGCCACCATGCCCGGCCCAGTTTTTACAGATATTTTAAAAATTATGTCTTACAGTGGACCTATAAGTGTCAGAACTCTCATCTCCTTTGACAGCAAGGATACCAGGATTCAAAGTAGTTAATGGCATACTTGAGGTCAGGAGCTAATGAATGACAGAGTCAGGATTTAAATTCAGGGTCTTGGCTGGGCACGGTGGCTCATGCCTGTAACCCCAATAAGGTAGGAGACCACCCCTCATATTGTCTTATGCCCAATTTCTGCTTCCAAAGAAAGAGGTAAAAACTAAAAGGCAGAAATGAAATCCACAGGCAGACAGCCCGGCGCTGCACCTTGGGCTTGGTTAAAGATCCACCCCTGACCTAACCAGTTATGTTATCTATAGACTCCAGACATTGTATGGAAAAGCATTGTGAAAATCCCTGTCCTGTTCTGTTCCATTCTAATTACTGGTGCATGCAGCCCCCAGTCGTGTACCCCCTGCTTGCTCAATTGATCATGACCCTCTCACACAGACCCCTTAGAATTGTAAGCCCTTAAAAGGGACAAGAATTGCTCACTCAGGGAGCTCGGTTGTTGGAGACGTGAGTCTTGCTGAAGTTCCCGGCCGAATAAAGCCCTTCCTTCTTTAACTTGGTGTCTCAGAGGTTTTGTCTGCAGCTTGTCCTGGTACACCAACACTTTGGGAGGCCGAGATGGGCAGATAACTTGAGGTCAGAAGTTCAATACCAGCCTGGCCAACATGGCAAAACCCCAACTCTACTAAAAATATAAAAATTGGAGAGGGATTTCGGGATCATGGCAGACGGGAGGCATAGCCAGATTGCAGCTCCGGACAGAGCAGCATGTGGAGGCTTGCATTGTGAATTTTAGCTGCAGATCCACTGAAAGAACAAACCAGCAATCCTGAGAGGATCCACAGACCCTCTGAAGGAAGCAGACTTGCTCCTGTAGGGCCCAGGAGACACCCCAAATACTGTGAGTGCCCCAGCTGTGGAAGTGGGAAAGGGAGACCCGCTTCTCCTGAGCACACACCCCCACTGGAGAAGCTGAAGGCCTGTTTGTGGAAGAAGTTTCCGACTTTTCCTGGAGCTGAGTCAAGTTACAAAACTCAGCCGAGCAAAATACAGGGTCAGAGGAAGCAGCAGAAAGGCCCTGGGAGCTCACTGGATCCCCAAGCAGCCCATTCCTGCCTGGCACCACAGGGATCCATCAGGAGGGTGGCCAGAAAGCAAGGGGTAAAACTCCACAGCTCCACAGGGAGAAGGAATTCTCTAGCTGAACTTTGTAACAATTTGAATGGGGTGAGAAGCCTCTGGGCCAGAACCCAGGGGAGGGTGTGAATCTGGCTTGCAGATTTCACAGGCGGAGGAAGAACTAAAGCCCTTTTCTTTGGCAGCTGGGAGGTGGAAAGCCTCAGGCAAGTTTTCAATTCGTCTGGCCCTCCATCTGGAAACACACTGTTTGCTGTTTCCAGATGGAGGGCTGTTTGCAGGACATGGTGGGAGTGAGACCGCCCCTTCAGTTTGCATGGGAGCTGGATGAGGCCTGTGACTTCCGGCTTTCCCCCACTTCCCTGACAACCTGCATGACTCAGCAGAGGCAGCCATAATTCTCCTAGGCACACAACTCCAATGACCTGGGCATCTCACCCCCATCCTCCACAGCAGCTACAGCAACACCTGCCCAAGAAGAGTCTGATCTCAGACATGCCTAGCACCGTCCTCACCTGAGGGTCCTTTCCTACCCACCCTAGTAGTGGTAGACAAAGGACGCATAATCTTGGGAGTCCTAGGGCCCCACCCACCACTGGCCCCTCTCCACACTACTACAGTTGATGCTTTCTGGAGAGAGCCACCTCCTGGCAGGAGGCCAACCAGCACAAAAATAGAGCATTAAACCACCAAAGCTCACGGAGTGCACTGCACCGTCCGCCGCCTCCACCAGAATAGGTGCTGGTATCCATGGCTGAGAGACCCATAGACGGTTCACATCACAGGACTCTGTGCAGACAACCCCCAGTACCAGCCTGGAGCTGACTAGACTCACTGGGCAGCTAGACCCAGAAGAGAAACAACAATCACTGCAGTTTGGCTCACAGGAAGCCACATCCACAGGAAAAGGGGGAGAGACTACATCAAGGGAATAGCCCTGGGACAAAAAAAATCTTAACAACAACCTTCAGCCCTATACCTTCCCTCTGACAGAGCCTACCCCAATGAGAAGGAACCAGAAAACCAACTGTGGTAACATGACAAAACAAGGGTCGTCAACACCCCCAAATATCACACTAGTTCACCAGCAACGGATCCAAACCAAGAAGAAATCCCTGATTTACCTGAAAAAGAATTCAGAGGCCGGGCGCGGAGGCTCAAGCCTGTAATCCTAGCACTTTGGGAGGCCGAGGTGGGCGGATCACGAGGTCGGGAGATCGAGACCATCCTATCTAACATGGTGAAACCCCGTCTCTACTACAAATACGAAAACAAAATTAGCTGGGCATGGTGGCTGGCACCTGTAGTCCCAGCTACTCAGGAGGCTGAGGCAGGAGAATGGCGTGAACCTGGGAGGTGGAGCTTGCAATGAGCAGAGATCGCGCCACTGCACTCCAGCCTGGGCAACAGAGCGAGACTCCATATATATATGGAATATATAGGGAATATATATATAGGGTGTATATATATATATATATATATATATATATATGGAATATATAGGGAATATATATAGGGAATATATATATAGGGAATATATATATGGAATATATATGGGGAATATATATATGGAATATATATGGGGAATATATATATGGAATATATATGGGGAATATATATATGGAATATATATGGGGAATATATATGGAATATATATGGGGAATATATATGGAATGTACATGGGGAATATATATATGGAATGTACATGGGGAATATATATAGGGAATATATATATAGGGAATATATATAGGGAATACACACATGGACTATATATATGGAATACACACATGGAATATATATATGGAATACACATGGAATATACACACATGGAATATACATATATGGAATATACACACATGGAATATATACATCTGGAATATATATGTGGAATATATACATCTGGAATATATATATCTGGGATATACATATGGAGTATATATCTGGAATATACGTATATGGAATATATATGTGGAATACATACATATATGGAATATATATGTGGAATACATACATATACGGAATACATATATATGGAATACATATATATTCCATATATGGAATATAAATATGGAATATATCTGAATATATATGGAATCTATATGGAATATATATGGAATAAATGTATGGAATCTATATGGAATATACGGAATATATGTGGAATATATGGAATGTATATGGAATATATGTGGAATATATGGAATGTATATGGGATATATATGGAATATATGGAATTTATATGGAATATATGGAATATATATGGAACATATGGAATACATATGGAGTACATATGGAATATATACATACGGAATACATATATGGAATATAGATATACGGAATATATACATGGAGTATATACATACAGAATATATACATAAGGAATATATATGGAATATATACATATGGAATATATACATGGAATATATACATATGGAAAATATACATGGAATACATACATGGAATACATACGTATGGAATACATACATGGAATACGTATATGGAGTACATACGTATGGAATACGTATATGGAGTACATACGTATGGAATACGTATATGGAATGAGTATATATGGAATATGTATATGGAATGAGCATATATGGAATATGTATATGGAATGAGCATATATGGAATATATATATGGAATGAATATATATGGAATATGTATATGTGGAATACTACTCAGTCATGAAAAGGAATTAATTAACAGCATTTGCAGTGACCTGGATGAGTTTGGAGACTATTATTCTAAGTGAAGTAACTGAGGAATGGAAAACCAAACATCTTATGTTTTCACTGATATGTGGGAGCTAAGCTATGAGGACGCAAAGGCATAAGAATGGACTTTGGGGACTTGAGGGGAAGAGTGGGAGGAGGGTGAGGGATAAAAGACTACAAATATGGTGCAGTGTATACTGCTGGGGTGACAGGTGCACCAAAATCTCACAAATTGCTACAAAAGAACTTACTCATGTAACCAAATACCACCCATACCCCAATAACTTATGGAAAAATAAAATAAAATAATACATAAATAAATAAAAATACAAAAATTAGCAGGTCATGGTGGTGCGCACCTGTAGTCCCAGCTACTTGAGAGGTTGAGCTGGGAGAATCACTTGAACCTGGGAGACAGAGGTTGCAGTGAGCAGAGATTGCGCCACTGCACTCCAGTCTGGGTGACAGAGGGAGACTTTGTCTCAAAAATAAATAAATAAATAATAAGGCTGGGCATGGTGGCTCATGCCTGTAATCCCAGCACCTTGGAAGGCCGAGGCTGGTGGATCTCCTGATGTCAGGAGTTTGAGACCAGCCTGATCACCTGAGGTCAGGAATTTGAGGCCAGCCTGACCAACATGGTGAAACCCCATCTCTACTAACAATACAAAAATTAGCTGGGCATAGTGGTATACGCCTGTAGTCCCAGCTACTCGGGAGGCTGAGGCAGGAGAATCGCTCGAACCACCCTGGAGGTGGAGGTTGCAGTGAGCTGAGATCGTGCCATTGCACTCCAGCCTGGGCGACAGAGCAAGACTCCGTCTAAAAAATAAACAAATAAATTCAAGGTCTTTCCACTGTGCTCCCCCAACCTTGCTACACACACACACACACACACACACACACACACACACACACACACACACACACACACAGAGTTCAAGCCCATAGAAATCTGGTTGTCTATGGATACAAGTCTTGAGTGATCCCCAGGACAGGGATAGAGTTGTGTTTTCCAAACAGCGAATCTTCTAATTTTAGCATCTTTTGCAATCTGCACAGGCTGATAATTTCCCAAATCATCAAACCTTGGTTTCTTTTTGCTTAACAGCTTTTTCCTCATTTTATCACTTTCCTCTTGCTTTTCACCATAAACAGCAAGAAGAAATGAGGCTTCACCTTCAACGCTTTGCTTGGAAGTCTCCTCAGCTAAATATCCAACTTCGTTGCTTTAAGTTCACCCACCATATAACTATCGGACACAATTCAACTAAGCTTTCTACCTCCCTACGGGCTCCTTTTCTGGGAAATGATCCTCCTTCCTCCAGTTTCCAGAAACACGTTCCTCATTTCTTCAGAGTCCTCAGCAGCAGGATTTTTAATATCTATTTTTTCTTTTTTTGAGGCAGATTCTCGCTTGGTCGCCCAGGATGGAGTATAGTGGCGCAATCTTGGCTCACTGCAACCTCCGTCTCCCAGGTTCGAGCAATTCTCCTGCTTCCGCCTCCCTAGTAGCTGGGATGCCACCACGCCTAGCTAATTTTTGTATTTTTAGTAGAGACGGGGTTTCACTATGTTGGCCAGGCTGGTTTGAACTCCTGACCTCAGGTGATCCACCCACCTCAGCCTCCCAAAGTGCTGGCATTACAGGCGTGAGCCACTGCACCCAGCCAATATCTATATATCTACCTACAGCTGCCTATGATGACTTAGGTATGCTGTAAGGCAATGTAGACTTGCTCTGACCATGTTTAGTTGATACTCGTGAGCCCTCCCTATAGTCTTTAACATCCATATTTCTACCAACAATCTGTGCAAGGCAATCTAGGTTTTCTCTATCATGGGCCTCATAATTTTTCTGGCCTCTGCACATCACCCAAATTTAAAGCTACTTCCACATTTTTAGATTTTTGTTTGTTTGTTTGTTTGAGACAGGGTCTGACTCTGTTGCCCAGGCTGGAGTGCAGTGTCACAGTCACAGGTCACTGCAGCCTAGACTTCCCAGCCTCAAGCAATCCTCCCACCTCGGTCTCCCCAGTAGCTGGGACTACAAGCATGCACTACCATCCCCAACTAATTTTTTTTTTTTTTGAGACGGAGTCGCGCTTTGTTCCCCAGGCTGGAGTGCAGTGGCACGATCTTGGCTCTCTGCAAGCTCCGCCTCCTGGGTTCATGCCATTCTGCTACCTCAGCCTCCTGAGTAGCTGGGACAACAGGCACCCGCCACCACGCCTGGTTAATTTTTTGTATTTTTAGTAGAGACTGGGTTTCACCATGTTCGCCAGGATGGTCTCAACCTTCTGACCTCGTGATCCGCCTGCCTTTGCCACCCAAAGTGCTGGGATTATAGGCGTGAGCCACTGCTCCCGGCCCATCCCCAGCTAATTTATATATTTTTAGTAGAGACGGGGTTTTGCCATGTTGCCCAGGCTAGTCTCAAACTCCAGGGCTCAAGTAATCCACCCACCTTGGCATCCGAAAATGTTGAAATTACAGACATGAGCCACTGTGCCCAGCCTAGATTTTCTTTTTTATAGCAGCACCCTGCTTCCTGGCACCAAAATCTGTGTTCCTCTCCTCTGGATGGTATAACAAATTACCACCACCTTGGTGGCTTAAAACAACATAAATCTATTCTCTTACAGTTATGGAGACCAGAACTTTATAATCTATTTCTCTGGGCCAAAACCCAGGTGCCAATAGGGTTGCACACCCTCCAGAGGCTCTGAGAGGGGAATTGGTTTCCTCAATTTTTCCAGCTTTTGGAGCTGCCTGTCTTGGGTCATGTAGCCCCTTCTTCCATCTTCAAAGCCCACAATGTAGCATCTTCAAATCTCTCTGCTTCCATCTTCTCCTGTCTTCTGTTTCAAATCTCCGTCTGTCTCCTCTTACACAGATACTTGTGACTGCATTTAGGGCTCACTCAGATAATCCAAGACAATGCCTCCATCTCAACATTCTTAATCAATTCTGCAAAGTCCCTTTTGCCACAGAAGGTAATATTCACAGGTTCCAGAGATCAGGACTTGTATATCCTTAGGGGTCATTATTCAGCATATCACAGGAAGGAAAGAGAAGGTGTCCCTGTGCTGTGGTTTGAATGGGTCCCCCACAAAGCATGTGTTGGAAATGTAATCCCCAATGCAACAGTGTTGGGAGGTGGGGCCTAATGAGAGGTGTTTATCTCATGAGGCCTCCACCGTTACAGATGGATTGATGTGGATTATAAAAGGACTTTGAGGCTGTGAGTTCAGCCTCTTGCTCTCTCTTACCCTCTCTTTATCCTTTCACCAGGGGATGATACAGCAAGAAAGCTCTGGCCAGATGCTGGCCCCTCGATCTTGGACTTTCCAGCCTTCAGGACCATGAGCCAACAAATGTCCACCCCTTATAAATTACCACCAGGCTTGGTGGCTCACGCCTGTAATCCCAGCACTTTGGGAGGCCAATGCAGGCAGATCACCTGAGGTCAGGAGTTCGAGACCAACCTGTCCAATATGGTAAAACCCTGTCTCTACTGAAAATACAAAAATTGGCCCTGCATGGTGGCTCACGCCTGTAATCCCAGCACTTTGGGAGGCTGAGGCGGGCTAGTCACGAGGTCAGGAGATCGCGACCATCCTGGCTAACACGGTGAAACCCCATCTCTACTAAAAACACAAAAAATTAGCTGGGTGCAGTGGTGGGCGCCTGTAATCCCAGCTACTCGGGAGACTGAGGCAGGAGAATCGCTTGAAACTGGGAGGGGTCCCTGTGCCAGGGACCTTACATGTTTCCAGGTGTCACCCCAACCCAGAAAGGACTGCGCCCCGCCGTCCTGGAAAGGCCCCAGCGCATGGACATCTGAGGGTTCGTTCAGAGCTCTGTTTCTCGGAGCTGGAAGGTGGCAGAAGGGAGGGAGCGAATGGGATCCTCTAAAAGGGATCTCAGACTTTCACCCAGCGGGATATGACACTTGCAGGTGTCCCAGACTTGTGGGAACCTTGACTGGAAGGCTGGGGTTAAGGATGAACTTTCTGCCGTCCAGACTGTCCCCTGCAGAGCAGCTGCTGCCAGACAGCGGGAGCTCCCACTTCGTGCACAGGATGGGGGCAGGGAGCCCGCAGCCGCAGGAGGCAGGAATGACTGTGCAGGGAGCCCGCAGCCGCAGGAGGCAGGAATGACTGTCCGGGAACCTCCTTTCTTCTCCCTGAATCCCAGCCCTGGCATCTAACCAGGGTGCACAGTGATGGTCCAGGGCTGGGCCCGGGACTCTAGCTGAATCTTTCAGAGTATCCCATCCCTCTGGCCAGTGGCCCAAGCGAGTGAACCAGAATGCTTCCTTGGGAGTTTTGAAATTGGAACTGGAGAGAGGAGCTCCCTATGGGGAGGTAAATGGGAGCTGGGGCCACCTGTAGTGACATTTCCTGAGTTCATGGAGTAGGCTAGTCTGAGAGAGAAAAGCTGACTCAGAGAAAGGGAGTGATAACAGGGCGTGGTAGCCCACACCTGCAATCCCAGCTAATCAGCTCGGGAGGCTGAGACCCAAGGATCACTTTAGGCCAGGAGTTTGTGATCAGCTTGGACAACATAGTGAGACCCTATCTGTCTCTCTCTCTTTTTTTTTTTTTTGAGACAGAGTCTGGCTCTGTTGCCTAGGCTGGAGCGCAGTGGCGTGATCTTGGCTCACTGCAACCTCTGCCTCCTGGGCTCAAGTGATCCTGCCACCTCAGTCTCTTGAGTAGCTGGGACTACAGGCATGCGCCACCATGCCCAGCTAATTTTTGTATTTTTTGTAGAGACTGGGTTTCGGCACGTTGCCCAGGCTCGTCTTGATGTCCTGGGCTCATGTGATCAGCCCATCTTGGCCTCCCAAAGGGCTGGGATTGTAGGCACGAGCCGCCCTGCCAGGCCCAAGGGTTTTTTTGTTTTTGTTTTTGTTTTTTTTAACTAGTGGGGTATGGTCATGTGCACCTGTAGTCCTAGGTACTCCAGAGGCTGTAGTGGAATGACTGCTGGAGCACAGGACTTGGAGATTGCAGTAAGCCATGATCGTGCCACTGAACTCCAGGCTGGGTGACAGAGCAAGATTCTATGTCAAGAAAGAGACAGAGAATTAAAAGAAAAAAGTGTAGGGAGACAGAGATCCTGTCTCAAAGAAAGAAGGGAGGAAAGGAGGAAGGGAAGGAAGGAAAGGGAAGGGAGGGGAGGGGAGAGGAGGGGAGGGGACAGGAGGGGAAGGAGGGGAGAGGAGGAGAGGGGAGGAAAAGTGGGGAGACAGAAACAGGTTCTGATTCCAGTTCTCTTAGTGGCTTCTACACCCCTCCCCTCCTATGACTGGAGAAGTTTTCTGAGAAATCTCCCCACCCACCCCACTCCCTTTGTTTTTTTTTTGTTGTTTTTTTTTTGTTTGTTTGTTTTTGCTAAGCCAATTGTCATTGAGTTTCTATCTGAAACCCCCAAAGGGACACTGGCCACCCCTGCCTCCACTCTACAGAGGTGGAGAAAAGGGGAGAGGGGCTTGGCAGGCCTCCCAGCCAGTCATGGAGGGAATAGGCTTCAGGAGGAGTACAGAGTTCTGGCCCCATTTTGGGGGAAGGCACTGGCCGAGAAGGGCTGAGCAACTCCTGGAGGTACAGACCTCTGGGGAGGGCAGGTGGGAGGAGCAGCAATGGGGCCCAAGCTGTTCCTGGACATGCACTCAGCCCCCTGCCATGCTATCCACTTTTGCCAGGCAGAATGACATCCCTTTTCAGCTGCAGACAGTGGAGTTGGCTTGGGGTGAGCCAGGTGGCTGGGCTGGGCCCCATGGAGTGGGTGCCAAGGACCAGGCCCTGCACTGAGCCTTCTCTCCTTTCTGCCCACCAGGGGAGCACCTGAAGCCTGAGTTCCTGAAGGTGAACCCCCTGGGGAAGGTGCCTGCCCTCAGAGATGGCGACTTCCTACTAGCAGAGAGGTAATGGTGACCTGGTGCCCACCCAGGGTCAGAGCCAGGATCTGCCTGGGTTCTGGGGCTCAGAGTTGTAGGGGGAGGCAGAGGCGAGAGGGGAGATCTTTCCTTGGGTTGGAGATCTTTCCAAATCACTGTGGCCCCTTCCTCATTTCAGCCTGTGTAGCTCCGATGCAGAGGCTGGACCCAGGGGCACCTTTGGGCTAAAGCTGGAGGCTGGAACCTGGCTAGAGTCTAAGCCAGCTGGAGCTGCCCAGATGGGGAAAGGACGTAGGTCACCCAGATAAACCTGGACAACCTGAAGCCAGCGGGCAAGGCCCAGGCTTGAGGCTGGCTCCTCCCCAAATGTCCCCAGCTCATCCTTTCAGAGTCCTAGGAGCTGGGCAGACCCAGGGGAGACTCCACATTCAATCCCAGCTCACCACTTCCTCAATCCATGCCCTTGGGGAAATCACAGAACTTTGTGTGCCAGGTTTCTCCTCTGTAAAACGGAGTGGGAGGAATAATGTATCCACCTCCCAGGGCTTACCTGAGGATAGAAAATGGGCACCTAGTGTTCTGGGGCACTAGGAAGGGAACTTGGAGACCTTTTGGGCAGGGCCCACACGGCAGGCACTCTGAGTGGGGACCCTGATGCCAGGGAGTGGGGCCTGGGCACAGAGGGCAGGATGGTATGGTAACTGGGAGGGGAGGTGGAAACATGGGCCCAGGGAGGATCAGAGTTGGAAATGGAGAAACAGAGTGGTTTGGTCGTGGGGAGATACTGCCTGGAGGGAGTTGCAGTATAGGGGAGGTCCTCCCCTGAAGGTGAAGGTGGGGAGAAAACCTGGTCAAATCACCCTGAGTATGAGCAATGAAGCCACCTGGCCCTGACAGGCTGGAGAAAAGATCTCTGACACCCCCTGCCCACAGCATGGTCATCGTTTTATACCTGAGTCGAAAGTACCAGATACGGGGACACTGGTACCCACCTGAGCTGCAAGCCCGCACCTGCGTGGATGAGTACTTGGCGTGGAAGCATGTCACCATCCAGCTGCCTGCCACCAATGTCTACCTGTGCAAGGTGAGCTTCCTAGGCCCTGTCATGCAGGCTGGGGCAGGGGCCTGGACCCCCAGAGATGGAAGGTACCAGTTGGTACATATTACATATTAGCTTCACTTCCACTGTCCTCAGCAGACATAACTAATCTATCACAGTACTCCTTCCCCTAAGCCTGAATGAATCCTTAGAAACCTTCTGAACACAGAGCCCCAGAGGACATCACTAATGAATGGCAGCCGGGAAGGGATGGAGAGGAGGCCCAAGAGGCTTCCAAGAGTCTGGGTTAAGTTGCTCCTCTCCTCACAGCCCAGTCTCTCCTGCCCCACTTCTCCAGACAGCCTGCAGATGCTGCACAGCTGGAGCGGCTGTTGGGGAGGCTGACGCCAGCCCTGCAGCACCTGGATGGGGGGGTCCTGGTGGCCAGGCCCTTCCTGGCAATGGAGCAGATCTCCCTGGAAGACTTGGTGCTGACGGAGGTGATGCAGGTGAAGCTTTCCTACCCACCTGCCCTCGGGGGGACTCTGGGCATGGGGCTGAGCCCCAACCCCAGCTGCCCTGTCTTCCCAGCCCACTGCCGTTGGCTGCGACCTCTTCCAAGACTGGCCCTGGCTGGCAGTGTGACAGGCCCATATGAAGGCTGCCCTTGGTACTGAGCTCTTCCTGGAGGCCCACAAGCTCATACTCCAGCCTCTGAACCACAGTGAGGCTCGGCAGGACCCCCAGCTGGCCCAGAAGCAGGTGCAGTTGCTGCAGGAGTGGCTCCACTGAGTGGGTACAGCCCACTGCACTGCACCCTGCTGTCTGCAATAAACACACTGCATGCTCTTCGCTTGTCTCCAGGCTTACTCTGTCACTGGAAGTGGGATCAGTCCCATTTCTGAGCCTAGACCTATTAAATCACAAAGCATAGAGTGAGTGGCACTCAGTCCTCTACGTGGGGCTCTAGTTACCTTCCTGGGCCACCAGGTGCACAGTCTGGCCACTGCAGCCCCAACCCAGGCCAGGAAGTTTCTGGGCTCCTCTGCATGGCATACACTGGAGGATTAATTAGTATAGGAAGGGTATAACCAACATTTTCAGGGTATGGGCCCAATAGCTTACTTAGCTGTCCTTACTGTGGGGTGTGATAGGATGTGGTGTATTATGTAGCACGGAGAATTTTGGATTCTCATGGGTAGGTTCAATTCCTGTAATTCTAGAAACAAAAGGGTTTAAACCTCTGTAATTTATTCTATCAAAGTAACTCTTTTGTGAGACATATTTCTTATGTTTGGGGTGGGATGCTGGAGGTTAGGACTGGCATGAAGATATGTCATATGAAAGTACTAGTGTGAGTGGTAGAAAATTTTTTCAAGGAGATATATGAGCTGATCATAATGGAATCAGGAATATGATGTTCGAATTCATAAAAAAAGACTTGTTAAAATGAGAGTTTGGGTGACGAAATTTGTGGTATAGAGTTCTGGTATATATATGTTATGCAGTGCTCCTAGGAAGACAATAGTGATTACGGGATTTATTATTTATTTATTTTTTGCCCTAGGGCGAAGGTGGCTTTTATTTCCTCTCTTAGGGAAGAGGGGGAGGTGAGCTTTCCCAGGCACGTCAACCTAAGGAAGGGGTCGTGGGGCCCCCAGCAGGGGCTGGAAGAGCTGATCATTTGGAAGAAAGGGTTCATTCTTGTCCACTTCCTGGCCCTCAGCTGCAGGGTGTGCTGGCAGGGGTTACTCCCCTTGGGGCAGCTGCTCCTGCATCAGCGGAGGCACAAGGAGGTACCTGCTGGTGTTCACAAAGAGGAGGGGGCAGGTGCCGCGAGTGAGGGAGAGAGGGCTGGGGTGACTGGCCCCACACCAATGCCTGCCTAGTATGATCACTTTCATAAGGCCTGGCTGGTGGGACTCCTCCAGGAAGGGCCTGAGGGGTCCCTTGGCAGTGCTCCATGCGATGGCTGGTGCTTTAAATGTCCATCTCAAAACTGTGCTTCTTCACTGCCCGCCCTGCTTATCTTCTGGACTATTGCTCAGGTGGCTCTGGCTGGCTTCCGTTGGGGGGATCATCACTGGCAGGGCTGGTGACCCCGGGAATGGTGGGCAGATCCCTTGGGAGTGTTTTGGTCACGGGTAAGTTTCAACACTCCATCAGGAATTTCCAGTGGTAGATGATCCTGGTACCTCCTGGGGTGGTGCTGAAGAGCATGCCGCCGGGGGTCGCGCTGTATTCCCCGGGCGGGTGGGAGCTGCTTGCCTTCGCCAAGCACCACCTGGCAAGTGGCAGGGATGGCCCAGCTTGGGGTCTGCTGCAGCTGCTGTCCCCAGATATGGTCTCCTGTGCACTGCACCCACGAACCTCTTGCGGCCTTCAGGGCATTTATTATAATGATATTTATATAGTCTGCTATAAAGAACAGGGCAAATGGGCCTGCAGCATATTCGACGTTAAAGCCCGAGATTAATTCTGATTCCCCCTCTGTTAGGTCTAAAGAGGCTCGGCTGGTTTCTGCTAGTGTGGAAATAAGTCATATTATGGCCAGAGGTCATGATGGTAGGAGCAGCCAGAGAAATTCTTCTGTTCCAATGAGTATATACAAATTAAATGAACCACTTATTAATAGGACTGATAGGAGGATAATAGCTAGAGTGACTTCATATGAGACTGTTTGGGCCACTGTACATAGTGCACCGATGAGTGCATATTTCAAATTAGATGCTCATCCTGATCACAGGATAGAGTAGACAGCTAGGCTTGATGTGGCTAATATAAACAGGAGGCCTAGTTAAGATTAACTAGAGAATGGGGTATGGGGAGAGGGATTCATATGAGGAGGGCAATAGATAGAGCTAGAGTTGGAACAATAATGTATAGGGGGTGTATTTTTATTACATTATTGTACATTATACAACAATATGTTAAAAGTTTTATTGCATCTGCCACTTTCATTGCCGAGTGCCCCCTGACTTCCTGGTGGTGGTGTCCCCACTGCTCCCGAAGCTCCCAGGTTCCTGTGTCTCTTTCTCCCAATTCCTTTCTAGTCATAGTTCAGGCTCCATTCACCTGTGGATGCTCCCAGCCTCTACTTCTAGAATCCTCCAGGGATAATTCTCATTGCCTCCTCCTCATTCTGGACCCTGCAAAGCCCCTTTCGTCAGGTTCTGCAATCAAAGTCCGGCCCTGGGAATTCCCAGGCATAATCCCTTCTCAGACAGGGTGTCTGTGAGGTGGCGCCACGGGACACAGACACACGTGAGAGGGGGAGAGTAGGGTCACGGCTGCCACACCTTTGCCACGGGCCTCTGCCAGCCTACTCCTGGGCCTCCTTAGAATCCTTGATGCTGTGAGAATTGCAGGCTTCCTGGCCTTATGACAACACAAAGGGAAACAAGAGGTTCCAGAATGCAGGGTCCTGGGCCCAGATCGGAGAGGGCACAGGGCCAGGGACTCTGGCCAGACATAGGCCCAGGTCTGTGGCTGGCCAGCTGCAGCTGTGGGGCCTGGCATGTGTCTCAACATGGCCCTGGAGCTCTACATGGACCTGCTGTCAGCACCCTGCCGTGCCGTCTACATCTTCTCGAAGAAGCATGACATCCAGTTCAACTTTCAGTTTGTGGATCTGCTGAAAGGTCAGCTCCCACTGCTGCCTGGCAGGCCTGGTCCTGGGGGGAGGCAGGACACACAGATTGGAGCTTTTTTTTTCTTTTTCTTTTTGGTAGAGCCTCACTTTGTCACCCAGGCTGGAGTGCAGTGGTGCTATCTTGGCTCACTGCAATCTCCACTGGGTTCAAGTGATTCTCCCAGCTCAGCCTCCCGAGTTGCTGGGTTTATAGGCAAACGCCACCATGCCCGGCTCATTTTTTGTATTTTTAGTCGAGATGGAGTTTCACCATGTTGGCCAGGCTGGTCTCGAACCCCTGACCAAAAGTGATCTGCCCCGCCTCAGCCTCCAAAGTGCTGGGATTACAGGCGTGAGCCACCACGCTCAGATTGATAGGGGCATTTCTGAGAAGCAGGGACAGAGACAAGGGAATCACCCCAGAGGTCCACAGGGAAGGAAAAGATGCCACGGGGCTTGTAGGCTGCGTCCCTGCCTAGCCTACCTTAGCCACTCCCCACTAATGATAGTCCCCACGCCACAGATGAACAGGCTTTTTGAGGAGAAGGGGGAATGAACAGCAGCTGGGACTCCCTGGGCTCCCACCAGGCACCCTGGCTTCGTTGTGGGATTCTAGGACCTTGTGAACTCAGCACCTGCCCACCAGGTTGGCAAAGGGGGCAGAAGTGCACAGTCCGTCTACACCCATCCTCCCCAGTGTTCAGAAAGGCTCAGGGCTCCACTGCTCCCGAGTGAGGGTCAGAGGGGTGGGCTCCAACTCCATCCCGAGCACAGAGGGACTCCAAAACTCAGCCTGCAAAAGCAGAAGCCTCTAGAACACAGAGGAAGAGACAGGGAAGCTGTGGAAATGAACGGGCTGCGAGTGGAGCCCCCAGAAATGTTTCCAACTGGAGGCGGCTGGTCCAGGAAGAGTTTCAGTTCCTGCCCCCACCTCAGGTTCCCTGTTAAGATGACCCTGATTGTGTCCGAGAAGCTTCCCTTTGGATGTCCAGCTGTGTGCTGGGCCTGGCTTCCTTAAAGTGGAGACAGAGTGAGAGCGATGGGATTGCGGATGGGACCCAGGCCCTCAGGGCTTCAGGTGATTCAAAGGCTGTGTTTTCAGATCCAGCTTTGGGGGTGGGCACTGGAGGCCTCCGGCTTCTGGGTAAAAGGGTCGTCCTGGTCCTGGGACACAGGTAGGAGGCACGGGAGTCACCAAACCTAGGGTGGAGCAGGCTGGGAGCCAGCAGTTCTGATCCCAGTCCGGTTCTGCAACTGCCTTGCCCTGTGACCTGGGGTGAGCCGCCATGTCCCTCCGGGCCTCAGTCCTCTCTTCTTGAGAAAATAGAGAGGGAGGCGTTTGTGTCTCTGGGAGTCTCAGTTCTCTCTCCCCTGGAGTCCCACAGCCTCAGACCTTCCCTGCTCCTCCCAGGTCACCACCACAGCAAAGAATACATTGACATCAACCCCCTCAGGAAGCTTCCCAGCCTCAAAGATGGGAAATTTATCTTAAGTGAAAGGTAAGTCTTCCCTGGGGCCCTTGCACCATCTGTCTCTGCTCCTCCTGGGAGGTTCAGTGCGAGCATTTGTCTGTTTGACCATGGAAAATCTCACACGTGCACTAAAGGAGAGTGAATACTAACTAATGAGGGACACGAGGAACCCCACAAATCCATCGCCCAGCTCTGACTCTTGCCAACTTGGGGTCCAGTTTACATCATTTCTATTCCCCTGCCTCCCAGACACCCCATCATTCCATTCATAAATGTTTAGGGGCCAGCTCATGCCTGTAATTCTAGCACTTTGAGAGGCTGAAGTGAGGGGATGGCCTGAGCTCACGTGTTCAAGACCAGCCTAGCCTAGACAACATGGCAAAACCCCCATCTCTACAAAAAATACAAAAGTTAGCCAGCATGGTGGTCCGCACCTGTAGTCCCAGCTACTCAGGAGGCTGAGGTGGAGGGATTGCTGGAGCCCGGGAGGCAGAGGTTGCAGTGAGCAAAGATTGAGCTTCAGCCTGGGCAACAGAGTGAGACCCCATCTCAAAAATAAAAATAAGTAAGTAAATAAATCAATAAACGTTCAGGAACATACCTCTTAGAGATAAGCGTTCTTTAAAAAAAAAAAAAAAAAAAAAAAAAAAGCAACAGGCTGGGCGCGGTGGCTCATGCCTGTAATCCCAGCACTTTGAGAGGCTGACACGGGAGGATCGCTTGAGGCCAGGAGTTCACGACTGCAGTGAACTCTGATTGTGCCACTGCACTCCAGCCTGGGCTAGGATAGAGCGTAGCATCACTACGATACCATTAAGATACCTCATAAAATTAACAGTAATTCCTGGATTTCATCTAATACGTGGCTCCTGTTCAAAACTCTCTGATTATCTCCTAAATATTTTCTTGGCAGTTTGTTTGGATCAGGATCCAAAGAAGTTCTGAGTCTTGCAGCCAGTTGCTGTCTCTCCTGCCACTTTTTAACCGATAGCTCTCTCCATGCCCTGACCTTTTTACCTTGGCATGGTTGCTGTTGGTGATGATAAAGGAGCCCTTGTGCTGCGGAGGTTCCCACACCAGCCATCAATCAGCAAGGCCTAGGACATCCCCTCCGAAGCATGTCTCCCCTCCGTCCCCTTCCCTCTGTCCCCATGGCCTCCACCATCCCCAGACACCACAACCTTCCCGATAGTTGCTGGCCCGCCACCTCATTGTCCATTCTGCCCCCTCGGGCTCACCCTCCATCCAGCACCAGAGAGATGGATCCTTTCATGCCCTGGCTTATATAATGCCTAATCTTAAGCATTAAGTCCATAACCTCCCTGCACCTCCAGGGGCTACCCTACGTGGACTCCACAGTGTCTCTGGCTGCCTCATCACTCCCCAATCACCCCCACCCTTCTTCCAGTTGCAACCCCCTACTCTCTTTTCTTCAGATTTACCTTGCTCCCTTTACCCTCGTATTTCAGCATGTGTTTTTCTTTGTTGGTTTTTTGAGACAGAGTCTTGCTCTGTGGCCCAGGCTGGAGTACAGTGGCACAATCTTGGCTCACTACAACCTCTGCCTCCCAGGTTCAAGTGACTCCCGTGCCTCAGCTTCCCAAGTAGCTGGGATTACAGGTGTGTGCCACCACAACTAGCTAATTTTTGTATTTTCATTTTAGTAGAGACAGGGTTTCACCATGTTGGCCAGGCTGGTCTCCAACTCCTGGCCTCAAGGGATCTGCCCCCATTGGCCTCCCAAAGTGCCGGGATTACAGGTGTGAGCCATCGTGCCCCCCCGTTTTTGTTTTTGAAAAAGGATCTTGATCTTTCACCCAAGCTGGAGTGCAGTGGTGTGATCTTGGCTCACAGTAGCCCCAAATTCCTGGGATCAAGTGATCCTCCCACCTCAGCATCCCAATTCAACACGTGTTGTTCCCCCTGCTGGCCTACTCTTTGTTATACCACCAGCCCCCAACTCCTACTCACCCCGCAGGGCTCCTTCCCAGCCCTTACTGACTGTCAGACAGACAGCTCTGGTGAAGGTCTTTCTCGGGGCCGTTTGGGCTCCTCTTTGCTCTGGAAGCCCCAGCAGTTGGGCCCAGGCCACACCGGGGTGGTTGACGTAGTGGCACTCAGGAAGGCAAGGGCAGTGCCCCTGACCGGCCCCTTCTGCAGCGCGGCCATCCTTTACTACCTGTGCCGCAAGTACAGCGCACCATCGCACTGGTGCCCGCCAGACCTGCACGCACGTGCCCGTGTGGATGAGTTCGTGGCTTGGCAACACACGGCCTTTCAGCTGCCCATGAAGAAGATAGTCTGGCTCAAGGTGAGCAGGGCCACTTCTGGGGCTTGGGGACACGGGCACAGGGAAGTCAGGAAGGCTGGAGGCCAGTTCTGGCCCTGCTGACTGCCGGCGACCTCAAGCAAGTCTCCCTCCCTCTCTGGGCCTCATTTCCTCAGCTCCTTCTCCTGCCCGCCTTACAGAGCCGTCAGGAGTGTGGACTGAAACAATGGGCATGAAAGAGTCTTATTAGGGCGAGGGGAAGGGCATACGGGAGGGGCTGATGTGACTCACCCAGGACAGCATTCGAGGCATTTCATTCTGAACTAGAGAATCTCAGCGTCAAAAGGCCCACAGAAGGCCGGGTACGGTGGCTCACAACTGTAATCCCAGTACTTTGGGAGGCCGAGGCGGGCAGATCACTTGAGGTCAGGAGTTCAAGACCTACCTTGCCAACATTGTGAAACACCATCTCTACTAAAAATACAAAATTATTAGCTGGGTGTGGTGATGGGCACCTGTAATCCCAGCTACTCAGGACGCTGAGGCAGGACAATTGCTTGAACCCAGGAGTTGGAGTTGGCAGTGAGCCAAGATTGTGCCACTGCACTCCAGCCTGGGCGACAGAGTGAGACTCCATCTCAAAAAACAAAAACAAAAAAGAGTATGGCCTATAGAAAATTAGAAGATGACAAATAACCAGTACATGTGTCTCTACTTTGAATTCTATGCCTGTGACAGACATCACTAATCAATCACAGGACTTATGCCTGCTGAGCTCCCCAAATCCTTGTGAACACATGGTTCCCAGCAACTTCCACCAATCAGAACTGCTAAAAGAGGTGAAACTGCTTTATATCCTGGGAAGTGTTCAATATCTATCCAGCAGACAAGAGTACAGAGACCTGGCAGGGCAGGTGGCCCTGGAGTGCAGCCTCCTCTTCCCTCCTCTTCCCAACCCTGGCCAGTTGCTGATCCCAAAGATAACAGGGGAGGAAGTTTCAGCTGAGAAGATGGAGCATGCAGTGGAAGAGGTGAAGAACAGCCTGCAGCTCTTTGAGGAGTATTTTCTGCAGGATAAGATGTTCATCACCGGGAACCAAATCTCACTGGCTGACCTGGTGGCCGTGGTGGAGATGATGCAGGTGTGGAGTGGATTGGAGGAGGGTTAGACCCTGGGCAGAGGTAGGACTCCTCTGTGACCAATGGGGCCATCACTTGAGGATAGGCTGGTGAGGCGGGAAAGGCAGGCAGAGCTGCCATGGGGGCTGCGGGAACCAGGCCTGGGGGCCTGGACTCAATCGGGGCAACAGGAAGCACAGAATGTTATGAATCAGGAAGGATCACAGTTCTCCACACTTGACAAAGATTCTTCGGTGTGGGAGGACCCGGAGGGTGAGCCTGGGATAGAGAAGAACACTGCATTTCCTGCTCAATCCACCAGCATCCCAGATACCTCCTCCTCTTGCTGGACTCTCCAGGAAATGTTCACTGGCTTCCTGGGTGTCCTTCTGGCCCTGCCTGTTTCCCAGAGCTCCAGACAGACAGCTCTGGAGGACAGCTCTCGTGGCTGGGTCTGAGGGGCATCCACTGTGCATTTGGAGGCACACCTGAGTGTGGGGCATTTATGTGGCCTCTACATGCAGGGGAGGGTGACCAGTTCTGCTTGTCAAGACACTGGCCAGGGTCTCAACTGGCCATCCTGCACACCAGCTAGGGCACTGCACACTGACCAAAGAGACTAATTTGCATATCAGCCAGAGATATGCCCGAGAGGAGGGACCTGGGGTCCTGGTGGATTGACCAGAAAATGCAGTATTCTTTTCCTTATCCCAGAGATCTCTGGCTGATATGAAAATTAGTCTCCTTGGTCTGTTTGCAGGGCAGACCAGCACCAGGAAAAATCATTCTGGCCTGCCCCAAGGGTTCAGCCATATGCTTCGTCCCCACCCCTTACATTTCACCCACACACACCCATTCTTGGGCTTCCCAAAGATCTTGGGTGCAAACCAAACTCTTAGTAAGCCAGCGAAACTGCAGGGTAGACTGCCCGCCAGGTCTCCCATCCTAGCCCCTGAGCTTGATCACAGTGGGAGGCTAAACATGGAGGAAAAAACCTGAGTTCTCTCCCTCATCCACATATACACACCTGGGATAAGGGGTTTCCCTGGAAGAAGGCAGGATTCATGCGAGGTCGCAGGCTGGAGAAGTGGGAAGTGCCTGGGCCAGGAGCCCTCTCAGCATGGTTCAGAAGGCTTGGAGCAAGAAGACCAGTGACTGAGGACTCTGAGGGATTCTGGATCCTCCATCCCCACCTACATCTATTACATAGTCTGTGACCCCTTGCTCAGGCCTTGGGGGTCAGCAGCCTAATTCTTTGCATAGGTAGATGTTAGGGACGTGGGCCTGAGGCTGTGGGAGAGGACCCAGGTGGGGCTGGTCCCCAGGCTGACCACGTCTTTGTCTTCGTCTATCTACAGCCCATGGCAGCCAACTATAATGTCTTCCTCAACAGCTCCAAGCTAGCTGAGTGGCGTATGCAGGTGGAGCTGAATATTGGCTCTGGCCTCTTTAGGGAGGCCCATGATCGACTAATGCAGTTGGCCGACTGGGACTTTTCAACATTGGATTCAATGGTCAAGGAGAATATTTCTGAGTTGCTGAAGAAGAGCAGGTGACCCTAGGCGCAGCCTGTCCCGCAGGGCCTGGCTGGCTTAGCAATCTGAGCCACCTTCCTTAAAGGAAATGTTAAAAAAAAAAAAACAAAAAAACAAAAAAACAACTGTTCTTTGCCTAATAAAGAACTGGAACAACCATCACAGCTGCTGAGCAGCAGACAGTTGGCATATGCATAGGGTCTGATGTGGGAGTGGGTGGTGGTTACAGATCCTTCCAGTTTCCAAAAAGAATTTTAAAAGTAAAGGGTTAAATATGGTTACATTGTGAGTAATAATAGTTGGTGACTTCAATACCCCACTTTCAGTAATAGAAAAACTACAGAAGACCATCAAGGAAATAGGGAATTTGAAAAGCACGATTAACCAATCGCATACACTAGACATGAACAGAACGTTCCACCCGACAGGAGCAGAATAAGCATTCTTCTAAAGAGCACATGGAATATTCTCCAGTATAGAGCATATATTTGGTCCTAAGTCTCAAATTTAAGATGATTGAAATCACACAAAGTATGTTCTCTGGACACAGTGGAATAAAGTTAAAAATCAAGAACAGAAGGAAAACTAGAAAACTCACAAGCACATAGAAATTAAACAGCACACTCTTAAACAACAAATGGGTTAAAGAAGAAATCACAAGGGACATCAAAAAGTATCCTGAACAAATAAAAATGAAAACACAACATGCCCAGATTTATAGGATGCAGCAGAAGCAGTTCTAAGAGCAAAATTTATAGCTGTAAACACATAAGTTAAAGAAGAATGATCTTGAATCAATAACCTAACTTTACACCTTAAGGAACTAGAAAAATAAGAGCAAACTCAACCCAACACCACTAGAAAACAGGAAATAATAAAGATTAGAATGGAGATAAATGAAATAGAAAATAGAAAAGCAATAAAATCAATAAAACCAAAAATTGGATCTTTGCAAAGATCAACAAAATTGGCAAACCTTTACTTAGAATAGCCAAGTGAAAAAAATAAGGGTCAAATTATTCACCAAGAAAGAAAGTGGAGGCTGGGTGCAATGGCTCACACCTGCAATCCCAGCACTTTGGAAAGCAGAGGCAGAAGGATCACTTGAGGCCAGGAGATTGATAACAGCCTGGGTAACACAATGAGACTTTTTTCTAAAAAATATATTTTTTAAAAAAATTAGCTTGGTGTGGTGGTGCAAGCCTGTAGTCTTAGCTAACTGGGTGGCCGAGGTGGGAGGATCACTCGAGTCCAAGAGTTCAAGGTTACACCGAGCTATGATTGCACCACTGCACTCCAGCCTGGGCACATAGAAGAACCTTATCTCAAAAAACAAACAAAAACAAAAATGAAAAAATGAAATGGAAACCAGAAAGAAAGAAAATGGAGACATCACATTGGTCATAGAGAAATTCAAAAGTTTAGAAATACTATGAATAACTATATGTGGACAATTTAGACAACCTAGATGAAATGGGAAAATTTTAGAAACACACAATCTACCAAAACTGACTTAAGAAGAAAGATAAAATTTTAATAGGCCTGTAACAAATAAAGAGATTAAAATATTAATTATTTTTAAAAATTCCACAAAGAAAAGCCCAGGACCAGATGGCTTCCCTGGTGAATTCAACCAAAAGCTTGAAGAACTAACACAAAGCCTTCACAAACTCTTCCAAAAAAATAAAACAGGAAGAAATATTTTTCAACTCATACTATGAGGCCAGAATTACTCTGATACCAAAGACAGAAAAAGACATTACAAGAAAATAAAGTTACAAAGCAATATCCTTATAAATATAGATGTAAAAATCCTCAGCAAAATATTAGCAAATCAAATCCAGCAGCATATTAAAAGGATCATACACCTTGACCAGGTAGGATTTATCCCAGGAGTACAAATGCAGTTCAACATACAAAAATCAATCAGTGTAGCATACCATGTTAATAGAAAGTCACATGATCATCCTAATGCACAGAAGGCATTTGACAAAACCTAACATCCTTTTACGATAAAATTACTCAGCAGATGAAGACGAGAAAGGAACTTCCTCAACTTGACAAAAAGCATCTATGAAAAACCTATAACTAACACCATACTTCATCCATTGTGAAAGATCAAGCGTTTCCCCCCTAAGATCAGGAACAGGACAAGAATGTTCATTCACACTACTTCTACTTATTAGGGCAATTAGGCAAGAAAAAGGAACAAGGTGGAATCTAGATCAGAAAGAAAGAAGTAAAACCATCTCTATTCACAGATGACATTACAGAAATTCTTAACTCACTTAAAAACCATTAGAGCTAATAAACAAGTTCAAGGCTGGGCACGGTGGCTCACACCTGTAATCCCAGCACTTTGGGAGGCCAAGGCGGGCAGATCATGAGGTCAGAAGTTTGAGACCAGCCTGTCCAATATGGTGAAACCCCGTCTCTACTAAAAATACAAAAATTAGCCGGGCGTGGTGGCGCATGCCTGTAGTCCCAGCTACTCAGGAGGCAAAGGCAGGAGAATCACCAGAGCCCAGGAGGTGGAGGTTGCAGTGTGCCAAGATCAAGCCACTGCACTCCAGCCTGGGTGACTGACTGAGACTCCATCTCAATAAAATAAAATAAGTTCAGCAAGGTTGCAGGGTACAAGATTAATACACAAAAATCAATAGTATACATTTGCAATAAAGGATGAAAAACAAAATTAAAACCACACTTCCATTTATAATACCATCAAAAAGAATAAAATAGAATAAATTTAACCAAAGAAAAGCAACATTTCAACACAGCAAACTACAATGTGCTGTTGAAAGAAATTAAAGAAGCGCCACCAAGCAATCTGACCTGAGAAAACATGCAGGTTCAACAGAATGAGTCCTGCTCTTCAGCAAGCACCCATCTTGTGTTCAAGCTGGGTCTATGAGGCAAGTTTGGCAACATAGACATGGACATGCCACCAAATCTGTAATGTAGAAAAGGCCAAGGGAAGGTGGATCAATCATTGGAAACATTCAACAATCCATGGAAGAAATGTTAAAAATAGAATCTCAGGGTCTGATGAAGTTGGAATATCACTCTTCTATGTATTTCGGTTGGAATCTGTTGAACGATTGGATAAAGTAAAAGTATAGGGAATTATTAGGTAGCATTAAATGTGTAATAAATGTAAAGAGAGGGTGCAAGTGCATACAAGGAAGTGTACGCTACTGGGTTTCTGTTGAATTGTTCATGGAAGACCATCAGCAGTTCAATTCCAAAAGCTTGTCTTAAAATTAGCTGGGTGTGGTGGCGTATGCCTGTAATCCCAGCTACTCAGGAGGCTGAGGCAGGAGAATCGCTTGAATCCGGGAAGCAGAGATTGCAGTGAGCCAAGATCGCACCACTGTACTCCAGCCTGGTGACAGAGCGATACTCTGACTCAAAAAAAAAACAAACAAACAAAAAAAAAACTTGTCTTGAGGGACTACGCCAGCCTTAACAGCTACAAACATCATGGAGGAAGCTGTCTGCCCATTAGAAGCCCAGAGCCCAGAGGGACAGACTAGAGCAAATCCTCTCCCTCATTGGAGCTAGATGGGAACACAAATCTATCTGATAACTAACATGCAATTTTACATCTCTTACCTTGTTTAATCCTCACAACCACCCTGATGAGTAGTAGTATTATGCCCATTTTGTAGATGAAGAAACAAGTTCTTCAAGGGGAAGGGTAGCATATGAATGAGAGGCAGAACCAGAGTCAGGACCTATATCTTGTCTTCTCCTTCCTAAAACTAGAAAAGTACCCACAACCAGGCAATGCGTTTGGTGCAGAAAAAGCAGTAGTGAACAAAATAGGCAAAAATGTCTGCCTTTAGTGCTCACATTGTTGTGGAGAAAGACAAACAATAAGCACAGTAGAGAAGTAAAAATTAGAATGTTTTGCTAAAAAGTCCATAAAATTGAATATTATTCAGCCATAAGAAGGGATGAAGTACCGTTATATGCTACAACATGGATGAACCTTGACACCATTATGCTAAATGAAAGAAGCCAGTCATAAAAGGCCACATATTTCATTATTACATTTGAATGAAATCTCCAGAATAGGCAGCTACTTCCTATCCACAGAGGTAGAAAGTAGATGAATGGTAACCAGGGGCTAGGGGAAGAGGGGAATGGGGAGTGACTCTTTATTGGGTACAGAGTTTCTTTTTGGGTGATGAAAATGATCTAGAATTAGATAACTGTGATGGTGACAAAACTTTGTTAATATACTAAAAACCACTGAATTGGCTTTAAACCAATTGAATTTTAAAGTATACTTTGAAAGGGTGGATATTATGGTATGGGAATTATATCTGATAATGAAAATATGATTACATTGTTCAAAAGCATAGGGAAGAAGCTACAAAAAATATGAAGCATAAATTGTGGCTCTTTTTTATTCTGAAGTGTAAATTTGAACATTATATCTCAAAATATAAAACAAAAACAAAGAAAGCTAAAAGCCCTTCCATTTGGCCATCTTGGAGTAAGACCTACCACAGTCCAGTGCCTTTTACTCAGCCCCACAGCCTAGCCTATTGTTTACATGAAACCCTGTAGCTTCCACCCCTGTTTGACTGTTGGGTGTAAAGTTATGAGTGACCATATTGGGGGAAGGGAGGAAAACTCCCCATAAACGTGTATCCTGGGGGCCTGAGGAGAGACGATGGACCAGGTAGCAGAACATGATATGCCTACTTGTCCCTATCTCCTTGTCCACACATAAGGCTTGGAAGGCAGCCATGTTGTATATCACGTGATCGCCAACCAATGAGCTGATTGGCTTCTTCAACAAGAGCCCAGGTAGAGATTGGTGTCTAGAGGAGCCCATCAGTTTCTAGAGAATCAGGCCTTTGGCAGTGGAAACTCCCCTGGGAGGATGTCACAGGGTCCTCAGGGTCAGACACAGAGAGAAGGAGACATTGGGACAGAGAGAAGAGGCAAGAAAAAAACATACCTTGCAGTCTGTGAGGAACAAGGTGGCCCCTAGGGGCCTCCAGCCCAGGTTCTGAATCAAAGCTCCTCAAAGTTTAAGGTGCATTTGGATCACCTGAGGATCTTATGAAAATAAACTCTGTCTGATTCAGTAGGTCTGGGTTTGGGGGTGGGAGCCTGTTAGTATATTTCTAACAAGCTCCCAGGCAAGGCTGCTACTGCTGCTGATCTAATGACCACAGTTTGAGGCTGGACAGAGTGGCTCACACCTGTAATCCCAACACTTTGGGAGGACAAGGCAGGAGGGTCTCTTGAGGCTAGAACTTTGAGACCAGCCTGGGCAACGCAGCAGGACCTCGTCTCTAAAAAACAAGAGAGAAGAAGAAAAAGGAAACAACAAGAAGACCTCAACTAGAATATGAAGCAGCTAGGCCACATATGTCTTCAATGGAGAAAAGAGCTTTTTCTTGAGTAAATTGGAGTGTACCCATGTTCCTTGTCAATGATGGTAACTTTAAATGTCAAGAATGTGAGAGAGGCCAGGGGTGGTGGATCACACCTATAATCCCAGCACTTTGGGAGGCTGAGGTGGGAGGATCACTTGAGCCAAGGAATTCAAGAGCACCCTGGGAAACAAAGTGCGACCCCGTCTCTACAAAGTCAAAAAATTAGCCCAGATTGGTGGCATGCGCATGTGGTCTGAGCTACATGGGAGGGTGAGGCAGAAGGATTGTTTGAGCCCAGGTCGAGGCTGCAGTAAGCTAAGTTTGTACCACTGCACTCATTCCAGCCTGGGCAACAGCAAGACCCTGTCTCGAAAAAAAAAAAGAATAGTAGAGACCAGGGGAAGGTGTGTCCCTGGGGTAGGCGCTGGGAGACTGGAGAACAACTGTTAGTGGTCCCATCACTGCCCAGAGCAGACAGTGCCCTGTCCACCCTCATGAGATCTTTGAACTCCTTGGACAGGACTGGCTATAAATGAAAATGTGGGGACCCTTATTTTTAACTTGTTAAGAATGTTAAGATGGCAACAGCAAAGCTTTAAACCAAGTGCATGGCCCTTCTGCGTTGTAGGCCCACAAGGCCGACACTGCTATTCACATCCTTGTATGGTCCCCTACCCTGGAGCGTGGCTGGGGCCTGTGCTCTACTGCTTGGAAGCAAGGCTTATCCCTAAGCCTTATTTTCGGGAAGGTGGATTTGAGAGCTACTATCCCACATCCTTGCTTGGTGCCCTGTGAATAAATCTTTTCTCTTTTGCAAAACTCGTGTCATGGTGATTAATTTACTGTGCAATGCCAGGCACTGTTGGAAACCTCTGGATAGGCCTCACAGGGCCTCAGCCATCTCGGGGAGGCGTTAGCTAGAGTGTAACAAATATGACCCCAGCAACTGGGGAGGGACAGCTCATTCCTTCATGAGGTGTGGGGCTGGCAGCCCCGCAGGCAGTCAGCCACCCTTCCTCTCTGGCCTCCGTCCTGGGCACTGGGCCCAGGCACTGGGCAAGGAGGCTGCTGCACCTCCTTTCTCCTCTTCCTTTTTTTTTTTTTTTTTTTTGAGACGGAGTATGGCTCTGTCGCCCAGGCTGGAGTGCAGTGGCGTGAGCTCGGCTCACTGCAAGCTCCGCCTCCCGGGTTCACGCCATTCTCCTGCCCCAGCCTCCCAAGTAGCTGGGACTACAGGCGCCCGCCACCCCGCCCGGCTAATTTTTTGTATTTTTAGTAGAGACGGGTTTCACCGTTTTAGCCAGTATGGTCTCGATCTCCTGACCTCGTGATCCACCCCCCTCGGTCTCCCAAAGTGCTGGGATTACAGGCGTGAGCCACCGCGCCCAGCCTCTCCTCTTCCCTTTTAGTGGGAAATATACCTGCAGCCTAGATTCCCAGAAAGGGGTGGTGAGAGAGCAGACACGCCACTGATTGACCCAAAGTTCTAGGAGCCAAGGGATGAGTGAAGAGGGCGTGGCCGGACTCGGGGCTCCTGGTGAGGTGCACCGCTGCAGGCTCGGTGACCCAGCAGTTCCTGCCCATCCCTCACCTACCCCCAGCCGTTCCTGTCCGCCGCCCCCAACCAGCCATTCCTGCCCGCAGTTCCTGTTCCCGGGCCTGTCCCCGGGTTTGTCCCCAGGGCCCGTCCCCTGGGTTTAGGTCTGCCCTCCGACGCCCCACCCCATTGCCCCCGCCATGGGTCTGCTGTCCCAGCCCTGCCGTTCAGTCTACATCTTCGCCAAGAATGGCATCCCCTTCGAGCTTCGCACAGTGGAGCTGACCAAAGCTGGGCTGGGCAGGCAGGCCCAGGGGATATTGGCCACGAATCCCTGCCTGTCCCCGCTGCTTTGCAGTCGGGCCAAGAATGCAGACTAACACGAAGAATCAGACTCTCCGGTGTGGAAACTATTACATAATTATCTATGTTATTATTTTTACTTTTTGGAGACAGCATCTAACTCTGTCACTCAGGCTGGAGTGCAGTGGCACAATCATGGCTCACTGCAGCCTCGACCTTCCAGGCTTAAGCGATCCTCCCGCCTCAGCCCCTCAAGTAGCTGGGACTACAGGTGCCCACCGACATGCCTGGCCAATTTATTATTATTATTATTATTATTGAGAGGAGGTCTTGCTGTGTTTCCGAGGCTGGCCTAGAACTCCTGGGCTCAAGTGATCCTCTTGCCTTGGCCTCCCAAAGTGTTGGGATTACAGGCATGAGCCGCCATGCCCCACTGGTTGTCTATTTTAATAGAGGCTTGATCTTTGCTTGTGAATACAAAACATTCTTCAAAATACAGGTTTAGAGAGGGCACAGCAGGCACAGAACGAGGGTAGGGAAATGGAGTGGGGCAAGAATATCTTCACCCCATGTGCTTGGAAAAAACAAACTGCCTCGTTGTTTCCTAAGTAAAATAGTCCCTGTCTACCCCTGCCTGTGTCTCTTCCACTTTTTTATTGTTTGTTTATTTATTTATTTATTTATTTATTTATTTATTTATTACAGTGTCTCAATCTGCAGCCCAGGCTAGAGGGCAGTGGCATGATCCCGGCTCACTGCAGCCTTGACCTCTCAGGATCAAGTGATCCTCCCAACTTACTCCTCCTAAGTAGAATAGTTGGGACTACAGGCACGTCCCCGTGCCCAGCTACTTTTTTTTTTTTTTTTTTTGGTGTGTGTAGACGCGTGATTTTGCCATGTAGACCAGGCTGACCTTGAGCTCCTGAGCTCAAGTGATCCTCCTGCCTCCTCCTTCTAAAGTGTTGAGATCACAGACATGCACCACCATGTCTGGCCCTGGGTCTCTTCCACTTTTATGTATTTCTTGGCATTCTTCTGTCTTTTCTTTTTCCTGCATCTGACTTGCTCTATCCCATGGGGCTTCTCACCCAGCTGAAGGGGCTACTCCTAGAGGCTAGAGGCTGGAGGGCCCTGTGGCAGGGCAGTGGGGGAGGCCAGCACCCTCACCCTGAGCTCCAGCGTTTGCTGGTCTGGCTGGCATACAGAGATGCAGCTGGAGCACAATTCAGTGGAGGAGGCAGGGCTATAACTAAGCAGTAGGGCAGAGAGCAGAGCCAGAGCCCCCTGGGCAGGCCAGAGGGAGGACCCTGCTCAGCTGACTCTTCCCAACTGCTGCCCTTGGTACAACCAGCTTGAGTCACCTGCTACAGAACAGGGGCTGGACACAGAAGCAGTCTGTGGAGGGAGAATGGGCAGGGGTGTGCATGTCCATTCAGTAGAAGGGCAAAGAGGCCCACATGTAGGCCTATGATCAGACTGGAGCCTGGCTTGACTGAGGTCCTCTGATCCAAACACCAGGCACCTAATGCGGCCTCTAGCACTGGCCTAGAATGCTAAAGTGAGTCAGACCTGGGAACCCCCAGTGGGGAGGGAGCCTTGAGAGTTTGGCATAAGAAAGGAAGAAGAGCTGAGCCACCGGGGGCTGAGTGGCTGAATGGGGCAGGGATTCCCAGCAAGAATGAGGTTGGTCTGAGGGTTGGGAACATGTTTGGCTGGGACTCTGGGGTATTGACAGGTCACCCAGCCTGGCCAGTAGGGCCTAAGTCCCCAGCTGGGATAGGAAGCTGAATCAGAGGGGGCAAGCCTAGAGCCCAGGGAGGAGGCTGGAGGGGTCTGACCTATGGATGGAACTGGCTGGGGGTGGGGTGTGAATTACAGCTCCAGGGAATTGTCCTTGAGCCATGCTTCAAGGAGCTGGACACAGGAAAGATGGCCCTCTGATGGGGTCAAGGTCTGTGACCCAGTGACTAGCAGAGAGGCTTCCTCTTCCCTGATGCCTCCCAGATAGGGGCCTCAGAAAGCTGCTGCTGGGATTTTGGGGTGGGGGTGGGCAGAGACCTCAGAGAACTCTGGGTTATCCCCACTCACCTCTCTGATCTCTCCTGCAGGCCAGCAGCACAGCGATGCCTTTGCCCAGGTGAACCCCCTGAGGAAGGTGCCGGGCCTTGAAGGATGGGGACTTCACCTTGGCTGAGAGGTAACCGGTCCGTGGGCTGCTGCCGGGCCTTGTGGGGCCAGTCGGCTGTCTGTTCACTGTTGATGGCTTGGATCATGGACTGTGGGCCCTGCACCAGCCCCAGGGTGAAGAATGGGTGGAGGCAGGCAGTGGTGCCCAGTGTTGACAAGGGTTATAGAAGTCCCCTCCTGCATTGTACAAGTGAGGAAACTGAGGCTGGAGGAGGGGAGGGACTTGCACAAGGCCACAGGGCCCAGTCTGCTTCCGGGCCTCCTCACCGCCAGCCTTCCCCTCCGAAAAAAGGAGAGTGCTAAGTTTCGAGGAGCGGCTGTACCAGGCATCTTAGTGCTACCATTTTGCCCACAAATCCTGTGGGGCAAGTGCTGTTTCCCTGGAGAGTCGAGGGACCACTCAGCGAGCTTCAGTGGCTATTTGCTAAACATCCACCAGGGCCAGACCCCATTTAAGCCCTGGGGCTTGAGCAGTGAACGTGTCTACGTCCTTCTCCTCATGGATCTCACATTCCATTAATAGAAGGGGGAGCTGACAGTAACCCATGTAAACATGGAACATATCGGATGTTGATGGATGCCATGGAAAAAATAAACAGGGTAAGATTGGGGGTGTGTGAGTAGGATGTTGAGGGAAGACTCCCTGGAGGAAGTGGCATCTGAGCAGAGAGCTGTAGGAATGTGCAAGGCATGAGGAGAAGGGTGTTCTGGCTGGAGGGAAGAGTGAGGGCGAAGGCTCCAGGTGGGACAATGCATGGGGTTCAGACTGGAGAGCAACGGGCCAGGGTGGGTGTAGTGAGCAGGAAGAGCAGGAGGTCACGACAGAGGGGAGCATGGGACACTGGGAAGGCTTTGGCTCTTACCGCAGGGGGATTGAGTCGCTGGAGTATTTTGAGCAGAGGAGAACTGTGATCTGACTTACGTCATAAAGGATCCCCCTGGCAGGGGTGAGAAAGCCACTGCAGTCATCTGGCATGCAGCGCTGGAGCCCCAGACCAAGGTGGTGGTGGTGCAGGGTTGGTGGGGTGATGGTCGGTTCTGACTTTTCTTGAAACTCTAACTGCAGGGTGTGCTGAAGGGTTGGAGGTGGGTGGGAAAAATGAAAGCCAAAACCAGCCTCCAGGTTGGTGGCCGCATGGTGGCGTCCTTTACCGAGGCCACATAGTGCCTCCTTGGTGGAGCTGGATTCACATTCAGAGCCTGGGATCACTGGATGGTCCAACACCCATAGAGGCATGATGAGCTCTGGGGGTCAGACTGCACAACCCTTCACCATAGGTGAACAGGAGATGGGACGGGGTGGGGAGCAATGCTGCCATGTCACCTGGAAGGCTCTCTCCCTGCTGGCCTTGCTCCTGGCCCTGTCCATGCTTTGGATATGTTGGGGAGATACCCAACTTGCTCTCATTCTTCAGACTCACACTGGGTGCCCCTTCCTCCTGGAAGCCTTCCCTGAGCCCCTGCTGAAGTTCATGACATTTTGTTTCTTCCTTGCTGCCATTAGTTGAGATGATAATCTGGCCCCGTGTAGGGCTGTGTGACCCTGGGCAGTTACCTAACCTCTCTGAGCCTCACATCCCTCCTCTGCATCATGGGGATAGTGAAAATGCCCCAGAAAATGGCTGAAGAGTGTTCAGGGCATGTCTTCTGCCCCTGCCATGTCCCCCCAGTGTGGCTAGCTTGCTCTATATGAGCTGCATGTACAAAGCACCTGACCACTGGTACCTCCAGGACCTGCAGGCCCGCGCCCATGGGGATCAGTACCTGTCATGGCAGCACATGGCCCTGCAGAGTAGCTGCTGCTGGGCCATGTGGCAGAAGGTGAGCCATGGAGGGCAGGGACACCTCCCGGGATGCCCAAGGGATGCTGCTTTCACTTTACAAAATCCTGTTTAGACCTGAGACCAAATCCTGGAATGCCAGAGACTGCCTAATTCACCCAACTTGTTTCATAGGAGGGAAACCAAGGACCAGAGCCAAGGAAGGATTCCCCTAATGTGCCTTAATTCCACAGCTACCACCTGCACACTTACACTCACACACTGTTCGACACACAGCCACGCACACTCACACACACATCCACCCACGTCCACCCACAGTCACACGATGTATCACATTCACACATATACACCCACACACACAATCATAACATTTACACACAGTCACACAGTTAACTCCTGTACACACATATACACCCACACAATCACATAATTCACTCATATTCAACAGTCACACAACTCACTCACATTGACACACATACACACCAACCCCACACACAATTCACATACATACACACACATATACACCCACATACACAACCACACCATTCACTGACATTAATACAAAGTCATCACACAGTTCAGTCACACACACACACACACCTCACACACACAGGCACACAATTCACACCAACAAAATCACACAGTTCACTCACACACATACACCCACATACACAAATTCACACTGCTCAGTCACATTTACACACCATTCAAATTCACACACATATACACCTACTTACACACAGTTCACTCACACCACACACATATACACCCACATACACACAGTTCACTCACATCACACACATATACACCCACATACACACAGTTCACTCACATCACACACATATACACCCACACATAAACAAAGTTACACAATTCACTCACGTTCACACACACAGTTCACTGACATTCACACACGTACACACGCACCACACACAGGCAATTCAGTCACATGGCCGAAAGCCATTCCTCACCTTGCTATGGTTCCCTTCCCAGTGTCACCTTAGCCTTTGGCCCTCAGCGTCCCCTTCCCATGCCTGGACTGCTGGAGAGCCCTGAACACACCCCATCTTCATGCCTCCAGCACTAGCCCAAGCCCTTCCCTCTGCCAAGAGCACTAAGTGCAACTCAAGATCACTTCTAGGGACCCTTCCCTGCCCCTCCTCCTGCCAGGTGACCTAAGGATCCTGCTGGTCCCGCTTGACAATGATGCACAGCATGGTTAGTTCAGCTGAGGTCGCTCTCCCAGACTTACTGCCACCTACACAGCACGGGGACTGACTGTTTAACTTTATTCTTTATTTCGTGTACTTTATTGGAGTGTCTGTTGAAAGCAAAACCATCCAATAAGGAACAATCCCAAGGCAGCCAGCATGGATCAAGAAGGCATAGGCTGTGGCCGCCATCCCCAGTGCCTGATGGGGAGAGGGGGTGGTAATGGAAAAGGCCCAGGAAAGCAGGCCAGAGTGTCCCCCAAAGTATGAGAAATCACTGGAAGAGAGAGCCAGAATGGGACCTAAGACAGAAGCCATCACCAGGCACCCTTAAGGCAGGACAGTTGCAATGGTTACTTGGAATACTTCCGGCTAGGAGTGGTGTTACAGGAAGTCAGTGACCCCAAACAGAGGGACCGGCTGAAGCCATGACAGAAGAACGTGGAGTGTGAAGATTTTATGGACATTTATTAGTTCCCCAAATTAATACTATTATAGTTTCTTATGCCTGTCTTTACTGCAATCTCTAAACATAAATTGTAAAGATTTCATGGACACTTATCACTTCCCCAATCAACACCCTTATGATTTCCTATACCTGTCTTTAATCTCTTAATCCTGTCAGCTGAGGAAGATGTATGTCGCCTCAGGACCCTTTAATAATTGCATTAACTGCACAAATTGTACAGGATGTGTGTTTGAGCAATATGAAATCTGAGCACCTTGAAAAAAGAAGAGGATAACAGCAATTGTTCAGGGAATAAGAGAGATAACCTTAAACTCTGACCACCGGTGAGCCGGGCAGAACACAGCCATATTTCTCTTCTTTCAAAAGCAAATGGGAGAAATATCGCTGAATTCTTTTTCTCAGCATGGAATGTCCCTGAGAAAGAGAATACGCACCTGGAGGTATCGGCTTATAAACAGCCCCCCGGGCGTGGCCTCTCTCTTATGGTCGAGACTGCAGAGGTGAGATAGACTCCAGTCTCCCATAGTGCTCCCAGGCTTATTAGGAAGAGGAAATTCCCGCCTAATAAATTTTGGTGAGACCGGTTGGTCTCAAAACCCTGTCTCCTGATAAGATGTTATCAATGACAATGGTGCCCGAAACTTCATTAGCAATTTTAATTTTGCCTCGGTCCTGTGATCCTGTGATCTCGCCCTGCCTCCACTTGCCTTGTGATATTCTATTACCCTGTTAAGTACTTGATGTCTGTCACTCACACCTATTTGCACACTCCCTCCCCTTTTGAAAATCCCTAATAAAAACTTGCTGGTTTTTGTGGCTTGTGGGGCATCACAGATCCTACTAACGTGTGACGTCTCCCCCGGATGCACAGCTTTACAATTTCTCTCTTTTGTACTCTGTCCCTTTATTTCTCAAGCCGGCCGACACTTAGGAAAAATAGGAAACAATCTACGTGATTATTGGGGCAGGTCCCCCAATAGAGTGGCACATGGTGGGCACAGGTCAGGCATGGGAAATAGGCCCCAAAGCCACAAGACATGTGGGCAGGTAGCGCAGAGTGTGTCTGGAACATCCTGTTTATTGGTCAGCAGTGACATCTACTGTCACATTTGAGAACTGCATCCACAGCCACATGGCCTCCTGTGAAGACCTCAGGGCAAACTGGGGAAACCTGCCCTTCTTGGAAGGTGATGCTAGGGGGGATGAGCAACACCTTTCTTGGAGGTTTGAATTCTTCAGGGCCCCTCCAGCATCTTGGTCTTCCTAATTCCTCCCTTGATCCCCCAGCCCTAGGGGTGGTAGCTTCTTGCAGTGTTTACCTCCGTGTTAATCTGGATTCTCTCTGTCTTCGGAGTTCTCTAATGCCTGGTTACCAATTCTTTATATCAAGTTCTCTCCGTTAAAATCATTGTGGTGGGGTCCATCCCATGGATATACATGGAGGTCTGTGTGACAATGTATAATCTTACTATTTGCAGTTATTACAAAACTGTCCTAGAAGACATGAATGCTTGTTAAAAGAAATCTTTTAAGTTTCCTAGACTTCAAAGACCGTTGCTATGCCCTGTGAAACATCGCCTATATCCTTTAACAGTTTGCAATTCGAATTGGTTACTTACTTAACATTTTGTTGCCCTGGTGATACAATTATGTTGACTCGTTATTGTGAGGTTACTTTGTTATTAACCATGATGAGGATTACTAGCACATACTTTTACTCCATATGTATAACACAACAATGTAGTAAAACCAATAACTCTTGGTTCTCTATTCAAAGTGTTTGGAATCTTTATTCTGTTTAAAACACTGATGACATTTGCCAATTTTTGAGTGTTCTTCATGTTACTGATTTGTAGGAGCTCTTTATATATTGCAGATTTAGTCTCTTACTGGTTATGTATGCTGCACCTGAGGAGTAGCAGCACTGCCAAGGACACTGAGTGTCTTGTCTGTGCAGAGCTTCACATGAAGCTGGAGAGAAGGGACTGGGGCAAGAGGGAAAGATAAAAAGGGGCAAGTAAGTAACAGAATGAATCCTTGTTGCTAATCTCCTGGCCCCCATCCCAGACCCTTCAGGGGATCCTGGCGATTCGAAGCAGCATAGCCTGATAGGCCTCTGGTGAGGGTGTTGGGAGGGTTTTCTTGGCCGCCTGTTCCAGGATGCTCAAGATGATGCTGTGGGCCTCCTGGCATAGCTCAGCACCCAGGAAAGCCTCCACTCGTCCACGCCATGCTGCCAGTCGTGGCCGTCCCTCAAACAGTTCATAGCCGAGAGCCACCGGCTGTAGGGACAAGGATGAAAAAGTTGTGGGCATACAACTTTCCCAGTTGTCACTGCCGACCCGAATGCTGGAACCATGGGCAGAAGTATCAGAGACATGGTCCATTCCCCAGCCCCTAAGTGAATGGACCACAGGGGCCCAGGCAGTATGTTCAGCCTTAGAGCCCAAGAGCAGCCAGGGTGAGACCCCACACCCAGGCAGGAGGCAGAAGTTCAGGGTTCTGGCCCCAGATCATCCAGAGACTTGCTCTATGATTCTGGGCAAAGTTCTGGCTTTCTCCAGTCCTCAGTGTTTCTGTCTGCCTCATGGGTGTGACACGAAGAGGGACACTGCCCACAGGCTGAGCTCACACCTGCATCAGCTCCTCCAGGGCCATGAGATCAGCCAGTGTCACCTGCTGGCCAGCGAGGAAGGGCCTGTCCCCCAGGAACTTGTCCTCCAGCCATTGCAGGGCCTGGTCCATGGCAGTCCTGTTGCGTTCCACCTTCTCCTTGGGCACCTGGACCCCAATGAGTGGCCCCAACACCTGATGGGGGCAGAGAGTGGGTCAGTCTATGGCCCCGGCCTACTGCCAACTACTCCCTGATGGCCAATCACTCTCCAGATGGCTCTCCTCACCTGGACCCACAGGGGTATACCAAAGGTGCCACGGATGCAGTCGGCATGCCAGCCCAGGTACTCATGAACACGGGCACGAGCCTGCAGGTCAGATGGATACCAGTGGTCCGGCGTCTGGTACTTACAGCTCAGGTAAATCAGGATGGCCGAGCTGGGAACAAATGGGCAGTGGCTATAAGGACACTGGCACCAGGCATTTACCCCTAACTGCTCCCATCTGCCAGTGGGGCCCGGGGGCTTCTCTGCATTTGAAGGACTGCCCTCCAGCCTCGCCCTCCATCTCCAGCTCCCCAACACCACCCCCTCCTCCTACGAGTCTCCTCCTGTCTTTGTTGCCTTGGGCACCGACTCTTGGCTGGACCTTCTGCTTTGCATTTTGAGAACCTCATCTCTGTGATATGCCAGCAGCCGCCCTGTGAGGTAGACACTCCTGTTAGCCTTTTAGCACAAGAGAAAACTCAAGGTCAGAATGGTCAAGTGACTTGTCCGAGGCGGTGCAGCTCAGAATAGGCTCCCTGGACCCCTGGAACCCTGCATGGGGCTGGCACACAGTGGATGCTCCGTGGAGTCCCTTGCATGTCCACGCGCTTGGGTCAGGGATCACGAGGGGAGGAATGTCTTTGGCCCCCGTCTGACAGGCCCCCAGCCATCACCTCTGCAGCCACCTGACCTCTTGTCCTTTTCCTGCCCAGCAGCTGGACCTCACCATGAGCTGTGCCCTTGGGCCATGGCATTGGCCTCTAGGCCCGGCCTGGGTAGATTGGGTAGTCTGCGACAAGTCACTAGAGGCTCTTTTCAGCTAGCATTTGTTGAACAAATGCGCAACAGTGGAAAAATGTTCCCTTGTCTTCTCTTCTAATACCCTTCAGTCTGGGAGTGGAGAGGCCCTGCGGCTCAGAAAAGGCTGAAGATGAGAGGTGGGGGGACATGTTCTGTCAGCCCCTGCTCATCCCGGACACACCCCAAGCTGTACCTTCTCCCCAGATACCTCTCCTTTCTTTCTTTCCTTTTTTTTTGAGACGGAGTCTCCCTCTGTCGCCCAGGCTGGAGTGGGCTCCCTCTGTCACCCAGGCTGGAGTGCAGTGGCGCGACCTCTGCTCATTGCAAGCTCCGCCTCCTGAGTTCACGCCATTCTCCTGCCTCAGCCTCCCCAGTAGCTGGGACTACAGGCGGCCGCCACCACGCCCTGCTAATGTTTTGTATTTTTAGTAGAGACAGGGTTTCACCGTGTTAGCCAGGATGGTCTCGATCTCCTGACCTCGTGATCCGCCCACCTCGGCCTCCCAAAGTGCTGGGATTACAGGCGTGAGCCACCGCGCCCGGCCTTTTTGAGACGGAGTCTAGCTCTGTCGCCCAGGCTGGAGTGCAGTGGCGCGATCTCAGCACACTGCAAGCTCCGCCTCCTGGGTTCACACCATTCTCCTGCCTCAGCCTCCAGAGTAGCTGGGACTACAGGCGCCCGCCACCACGCCCGGTTAACTTTTTTTTCCATTTTTAGTAGAGACGGTGTTTCACGGTGTTAGCCAGGATGGTCTCGGTCTCCTGACCTCGTGATCCGCCCGCCTTGGCCTCCCGAAGTGCCGGGATGACAGGCGTGAGCCACCGCGCCCGGCCAGATCCCTCGCCTTTCCCCTCCCTCGCTGCCCCATGGGGTATGGGAGGGCCACTGGGGCCCGGGGCCAGTGGGGAGAGCCAAGGTCACATGGGCTCCGGATGCGGTGAGGGGTGAGGGAAGGAGGGCACCTTTCGGTCAAGATGAAATCACCATCCTTGAGCGTCGGCAGTTTCCCCAGGCTGTTGATCTGCAAGAACTCCTTGCTCTTGTGCTGCCCTGAAGAGGAAGAAGTCAGAAAAGGTCTTCAGAGTAAAAACGCTGCACCTCTACACCCTCCCTCCTCCTCCCCAAGCGGAGCCCCACAGCCCTGAGAAACAGCAAGGTCTGGGACTAGAGGCCTGGATCAGCCTCACTCCCTGGCTGGGCCTCCCTGCCCTGCCACATTCCGGGGCAGCTGGGGGGTTTTGGTGGGTGGGGCCAGGTGCAGCAGGTGGATAAAGAGAAGTTTTCTAGCCGGACTCTGGTGGGCCAGGGGAGGGGAGGCAAACTGGGGTGGCTCATCTCTTCCCATCTCTTAATTCTCACAACAGTATGTCCTTCTTCCCGAGGTCTTCTGGGCTTTGTGAATTTATATGCGTGCATTCCACGCAAGAACTCTGTCAACTCCATTCAGTATTTTCTTTCCATCCCTACAGAGCAGAAGGTAACGTTATCCTCCTTTTCAGAAGGCAAGCTAAGGTTCAGAGAGGCTGTGATCCCTTCAAGGCCACTCAGTCCACAGCATTCTCTGGTGGCAGACGCTGCAGGAGGAGGTGAGGGGGCTGTGCGGGCGGCGAGACGCTCAGGGCAGAGCAGGGCGGGGGCCTGGGGGTGCACTGGGTTTGTGGACACGCGGGGAAACGGGCTGGGCCCACCTTTGACCAAATCCACGGTGCGCAGCTCTAAGGGGATGCCATTCTTCTTGGCGAAGATGTAGACGGCGCGGCTGGGCTGGGACACCAGGTCAAGAAACAGCTCTAGGCCCATGGCGGGGGCGGCAAGGACAGCGGGGATGGCAGTGAAGGCGCTGAGCGCGGTGTGGGCAGCAGCTGTGGCAGGATCCCGGCGCGCCGGGAAATAGGGGATCAGGCCCCACCCCCTGGGGACAGCACCCAATTGGAGCGCACCACCCCCGGACCCGCCTCGCCCCTTCGGTTCCTGTCCAGTCCTGCCGGCCAAGACTCCACCACCAGATCCGTGCGTCCCTACAGGGAGGGCGGTCGCTATGAACGCACAGCTGGGAGGGTGGAGTTGGAGCTGGGGACCCTCGACTGGCAGGGAGGACGCGGATGCAGGGGGCCGACTGCAAGGGGAAGGGGAACCGGCTGGACAGGGAGAAGCAGGTCTGCTTTTCGGGATCCCGGTGCCAGGGACCCTGCCCAGTTCCAGGCGTCGCCCTGACCCAGAAACGACTGGGCGCCGCCGTCCTGGAAAGGCCCCAGCGCACGGACATCTGAGGGTTCGTTCAGAGCTCTGTTTCTCGGCGCTGCATGGTGGCGGAAGGGAGGGAGCGAATGGGATCCCCTAAAAGGGATCTTAGAGTTTCACCCAGTGGGATGTGACACTTGCAGGTGTCCCAAACTGGTGGGAACCTTGACTGGAAGGCTGGGGTTAAGGATGAACTTTCTGCCGTCCAGACTGTCCCCTGCAGAGCAGCTGCTGCCAGACAGCGGGAGCTGCCAGACAGCGGGAGCTCCCACTTCGTGCACAGGATGGGGGCAGGGAGCCCGCAGCCGCGGGAGGCAGGAATGACTGTCCGGGAACCTCCTTTCTTCTCCCTGAATCCCAGCCCTGGCATCTCACCAGGGGGCACAGTGATGGTCCAGGGCTGGGCCCGGGACTCTAGCTGAATCTTTCAGAGTATCCCATCCCTCTGGCCAGTGGCCCAAGCGAGTGAACCAGAATGCTTCCTTGGGAGTTTTGAAACTGGAACTGGAGAGAGGAGCTCCCTATGGGGAGGTAAACGGGAGCTGGGGCCACCTGTAGTGACATTTCCTGAGTTCGAGGAGTAGACGAGACTGAGAGAGAAAAGCTGACTCAGAGAAAGGGAGTGATAACAGGGCATGCTGGCCCACACCTGCAATCCCAGTTACTCTCACGGGATCTGTTTCTCTGATGTCTGGGTATGAAAGGACTTTCTAAGCCTCAGAACAGTGGGAGAACTCAACAAAGAAAAAACCAATACATATACAAGGTTACTTTGTGGAGGAAAAAATGGATTAACCTTAAGCAAAAAACTGGGAAGGATCTCGGTAAAAGATACGTCAGAAGGAAGTAATGTCCTTTAAGATGTTCTTAGAAACCCATCAGACAGGTGGGGTGTGGTGGTTCACGCCTGTAATCCCTGTACTTTGGGAGGCAGAGATGGGCGGATCAGTTGAGGTCAGGAGTTTGAGACCAGCCTGGGCAACACGGTGAAGCCCCGTCTCTACTAAAAATACAAAAATTAGCTGGGTGCGGTGGCACACTCGGGAGGCTGAGACAGGAGAATCACTTGAACCTTGGAGGCAGAGGTTTCAGTGAGCTGAGATCATACCACTGCACTCCAGCCGGGCCACTGAGCGAGACTGTCTCAAAACAAACAAACGAACAAACAAAAAGAAGAGAAACTCATCAGACGAAGACACAGGAAAAAAATGAGCGAAGGAAATCAGCAGAGGTTTCATTGAAGGACAAAGAGAAATGGTCAATACATGGATGAAAACATGTTTAACTTCAGTAATAATCAAGGAAGCACACACCAACACAACATGCACATACTGTTTTTATTTATCAAAGGCACACATATTTTTGAAATGAGTACTCCTAATTAATATGTACAGAGCACTTACCCAGTGCCCAGCACAGGGGTGGCACCCTGTGTGTGAGACAGCATGAAACAGGTAGACACGCGCCCTGCTGAAAGTAAGGGACCGCCTCTCTGGAGGATCCATCGGGCAATAAGGAGGTTTCCACACCTTAACTGTGTCTGCCTTGACCTCTGGGGCCTGGGAGCAGAGCCCCCTCCAGCTGGTGGGGAAGGAAGCGTGGTGTGTTTGAGGACAGAATGGAGAGAAGTTGAGTAGAGCAAGTGTAGACTCTTCCTATCCAAAGTGTGGTCAATGGACTGGGAGTATCAGCATCACCAGGGAGCTTGTTGGAAATGCAGAGGCTCAGGCCCCACTCTGACCTTACTGATTGGGAGCATAAACTGTAACCAGATTCCAGGGAGGATTCATACACACATTCCCGTTTGATAAGTGGGGGGTAGTAGGAGGTGAGGTGAAAAGTGGGGAGGGGATGGCTACCGCACTGGAGAAGGCTGGCTTTGTGTTGAGGCCTTTCTCATGAGGGCAGTGGGGAGCCATGGAAGGCTTTATGCAAGAGAGGGTACGGGCAGATTGAGATTACAGAAGGATCCCACTGGTTGCCTTGTGTGAGGACCCAGGGAGAAGGGGGAGGCTGTCCCTGTTTGAGTAGGAGATGAGAGCTACTGGTGGCTATGAGTGGAAAGAAGTGAGCAGAGGTGAGCAGAAATCCCAAGGACTGGTGATGATAGGATGATGGTGGGAACCAGGATGGGCTTTGGGCAGACCCTGACCCCTCTCTCTGCCTGTCGGCCCACCAGATAATAATCCCTGTGTTCCTGGGCGAGTCAGTGCCACCCGAGATGTTGGCGGCCACTTTGGCTGAGCTGGACGGATGCCTGCAGCTGCTCGAGGACAAGTTCCTGCGGGACCAGGCCTTCCTTACTGGGCCCCGTATCTCTGTGGCTGGCTTGGTGGCAATCACGGAGCTGAGGCATGAGAGTGCCATGGGGTGCGGTGGCCCGCTGGGCAGTGGTGTATCCGGGAAGGGAGCTGACATCCCAGCTCATGTTGTCTTTTCTGGCTGTGGGACCCTGTGTGAGTCACTTCTCCTTCTGAGCCTCAGTGTCCTCATCTATAAAATGGGGCTTTACAAACCCCTCACCGCAGCTATATTAAGAGGCTTCCAAGTGTCCCCAGGGAGGGGGACATCCTAGCCCATCACACACATGGTGGAGGAGGGAAAATCCAATCAGAGAACCCCTAAAGCAGGTCATGCTGCCTTACACTTGGCTATGCCCAGCCCCTCCGCTGACTCTGTCTTCCCCTAGCCCATCAGTGCTGGCTGCTGAGTCTTTGAAAGCGGACCCACGGTGGCAGCATGGTGCCCAACACGTGGAGGCTGCAGTGCGGGAGGACCTCTTCCAGGAGGCCCTCCCAGCTGTCCTGAAGGCCAAGGACCTGCCTCCAGTAGAACCTGCTGTTAAAGAGAATCTGAAGACCTTAATGCAGCTTTTCTTGCTGTGAGTGCGTGTCCCACACTTGCTGAGCCACTGAGGGGATGCTGTGTTGGTAGAATAAAGACATGGAGCTGTCCGTCTCCTTGGTTGAAGAGAAGACATATCTGCAAAGGCTCTGGTCCACAGTTCCTCCAGATATCATGCCTGCATTCCTTTTGTCTCCTACCCCATTCCATTCTAGCTTCCATGTGACCTCTGAAAAGAGCTTGGGCAAACGCTTACTTGACCCTGACCTTCTGTGTGGAACTTTGTATGGTTCCTCACTGCCCAGAAGCTAAAGTACAAGTCATTGAACTTTGCATTCAAGGCCTTGCTCCCACTCCTCCAGGTGGCCCCTTCTGCCTGCACACTCCTAACCCCTCTCTGGGCTCCCACCTTGGCCTCTTGGCCTCCGCTCATGCTGTTCCCTCCTCATCTTCGCCTGGTGCCCTTCCTGGTCTTTTGGCATTTGGCACCCTGTCTCTTCTCCAGGGAGACTTCCCTGACCTCCCCAGCCCCAGTCCAGGTCAGGCGACCTCTCTGGGCTCCTCAGCCCCAGTGTTTCCTTGCGGGGGATACCCCCGGACTGAGCATGTATCATCGATGAGGGGTGACCTGGTGGAAAGATGTCTGAATCAGGATCAGCCTTGGTCTCCTCGGTCTCTCTCCTCACTGTGGGGCGATGTTGTGTTCCACAAGTGGGGTGCAGGGCTGGTTCATGAACCTCCTTGCAGGAAGGGAAGTCCCTGGTTATTTCCTGGCCCTCTCCCATGCCTCCTCATAACCTTGACCACAGTCTTCTCTACACCCCACTCCCGGACCACTGGCTTGTCCATGCCCCACACCTGGTCCCAGACTTGCCACCTGTCCCTGCCCTCTCCCCTTAGGACTGTCATATTTACCTGTCGTGTGTCTCAGACCTTCTGATATCTGAGTCATCTAATAAACAAACTGCTAATAGGACAAGATCATGACAGACAGAGACTCTGTCGGCCTTTCAGTGGAGGCTCCTTTAAGTATGCACACTTATAGAGAATTTTATACACGTAGTTGAAATTGTACATATAAACTTGCAAATTTTTTCTTTCTTTTTTGTGGGGGAGGGGGGAGCCTGGGTCTCACTCTGTCATCTAGGGTGGAGTGCAGTGGCACAGTCATAGCTCCCTGCAGCCTAGATCTCCTGCGCTCAAGCAATCCTCCTGCCTCAGCCGCCCAGGTAGCTAGGACTACAGGCACACACCACAGCACCCAGATTTCTTTCTTTTTTTTTTTTTTTTTTGTAGAAAATAAAGAAGAGAATCTTGCTATGTTGCCTAGCCTGATCTTTAACTCCTGGGCTCAAGCAATCCTCCCTTCTTAGCCTCCCAAAGTGCTGAGATTACAGGTGTGAGCCACATTGCTCGACCACAACTTCAGTCATATTTGTAATGTACAATTCAAGTGATTTTGCCACACTGACCACACTCATGTTTAAGCCACGCCAACAGAGTTCCATGTTTTCTGATGTTTTTTCGAGATGGAGTCTCGCTCTGTCACCCAGGCTGGAGTGCAATGGCGCGATCTCGGCTCACTGCAACCTCCACCTCCCCGGTTCAAGCGATTCTCCTGCCTCAGCCTCCCGAGCAGCTGGGATTACAACGTCTGCCACCACGCCCGGCTAATTTTTGTATCTTTAGTAGAGACGGGGTTTCGTCATGTTGGCCAGGCTGGTCTCAAACTCCTGACCTCAGGTGATCCGCCCGCCTGGACCTCGCAAAGTGCTGGGATTACAGGCGTGAGCTACCGTGCCCGGCCTTTCCATGTTTTAAAGAACATATTTTGCCACCCCCTGGTGGACAGTGGCTCACCACCGGCACAAGAGGCTACACAGGCAGATGTCAATGGGGACCAGGCAGGGACAGGTATTGTCGTGAGCCTAGCCCTACCCGCGCCCCCGCGAGTAACCACATCTCCTGACTGCCCAAGCGCAGATTTCCATACTGAACATGAAATTGCCTGACTTCGAAATGGTGGCAAATCATTCAAAAAAACTTTAAGCTCCCGTTGTATTGGTTATTAGGGTCGAGCCTGGGGAAGACCCCTATAGGTGTGTGTGTGTCCTTGTGTGTCGGGGGTGTGGTGTTCAGACCTCTAATAGGGCTAGGAACCGGGCGACCACAGCGCGGAAGCTTGAGAGGGAAACCCACCTGGCGCCAGGCAGGAGGGTCGGGGGAGACAGGGTGGGTCCACTACCGGGTTAAAGACCTGTAGTGGGTGGGGCTACACGTAGGGCGGAGACGATGGGACTTCCGGAAATCAGCCGGCACACGTGACTTTTGTTTGCAGAAGCGGGAGGTACCCTAGGCAGCCAATCGGGGAGCGCCGAGTCTCTGTCCAGCCAATGAGAAGCCAGGTTGCTGTGGCGCCTCGCCCCTCCTCCCTGGTCCGCGAGCCTTGGGTACCCCCAGCTTTTCTTCCGCCAGAGCTGTTTCCGTTCCTCTGCCCGCCATGCCGTTCCTGGAGCTGGACACGAATTTGCCCGCCAACCGAGTGCCCGCGGGGCTGGAGAAACGACTCTGCGCCGCCGCTGCCTCCATCCTGGGCAAACCTGCGGACGTAAGCGTGGGCCGGGCAGCACGGGGCGAGGGGAGGTTGGTGGGCCAGGGGTCCGGCCCTGTCCCTGCTCCGCCTCCCCGACAGTGACCCCGAATCTTTTCCCCAGGGACCACTCCCCACTCCTTTCCTCACGCCAAGCTCTGACTTTCCGTGCTCCACGATCCCGCGGCTCCCCCTCCGCACGTCTTTCCCTTGTCGCCCTCCCCAGTCATGACCCGGGCGTGACCTTCAGGGACCGCGGCCCGTATCGGGATCCCTGCCCCGCGAACACTGCGCGTTTCGGCTTTCGCGCGCTCGGGTCCCGTCCCCAGAGGTAGCCCGGCCGGCTCCAACTTCGGGCAAAACTTTTCATGTCCCCCTCAGCGCGTGAACGTGACGGTACGGCCGGGCCTGGCCATGGCGCTGAGCGGGTCCACCGAGCCCTGCGCGCAGCTGTCCATCTCCTCCATCGGCGTAGTGGGCACCGCCGAGGACAACCGCAGCCACAGCGCCCACTTCTTTGAGTTTCTCACCAAGGAGCTAGCCCTGGGCCAGGACCGGTGCGTAGGGGTAGTAGGGGATCCATGTGGGACTGCCGCAGACTGGAGCCACTGATCCTGCCTCAGGGGGAAAAACCCATTTCTTGCCCTGCCCAGTAAGGACACATCAGGGTCTGGAGCTTTGGGGCCCCCTGACCCCTTAGGTTCCTGCTGTTAGGACCATCTTCAAAGTGCGAGCAGGATTGAATGAATTTCTGGCTCTGCTCCTCAGTGTGTAAGTCTGTGAACCGGGAAGGCTCTCTTTTAACACCCCCGGGGCAGTGCAAGGGTCATGTGGGATTGTCTGTGTGCTGTACCTGCCTTGGCACCTGACAGGGTAGGTACACGTGGCTGAAGTGTGATTTTCTAGAACTTTTCCAGGCTGGTCAGAAGGAATTCTGGGTATGTTCTGAAGTTACGTATTTTGGACCTGTGTCCCAGCCAGGTTCCAGGTGAAGTTCACGGGAGACTCACAGAGTAGTGAAAGACCATTGGCCTGGATGTCTAGACATCTGCTTTCTGGGTCCTGCATAGCTGGGGGACCCCAGACAAACTTGGAAATGAACCATCTCCAGTTGGCAACCTCCTCTTCTGTGAATACAGGGGAAAAGACCTCCCTCCCCCACAAGAAGCGTCTGCAACCCAAACCTGGCGTTCTGTGACCGAGTTAAAGTTTCCTCTTGGGTAAAAGATATTCTTGAGCCACATCCATGTCTAGGAGGAAGTAAGGGCATGAGAAGCTTGAAAGGACACTGTCCAGGCACGGTGGCTCATGCCTGTAATCCCAGCACTTTGGGAGACCAAGGCGGGAGGTTCATTTGACCCAGGAGTTGTAGACCAGTCTGGGTAACATAGTGAGATGCCATCCCCCAAAACAGTTTTAAAAATTAACCGGACATGGTGGTGTGCACATGTAGTCTCACTTAGTTGGCAGGCTGAAGTGGGAGGATGGTTTCAGCCCAGGAGGTTGAGGCTGCAGTGAGCTATGATTGCGCATTGCACTCCATCCTGTGTGACAGTGAGACCTTGGCTCACAAAAAAAGACCTTCTGAAATGGAGCCTTTGTTAGTCCATGAAGGTCGATGAGGAATGGCTGATCCTGCTGGGTCCTCCCTCAAGCTACAGAGGAATAATACAGTCAGCCCCCTGTATCACTGGGTTACGCATCTGTTGATTCAAACAACCATGGATTGAAATATTAGAGGAAAAAAAATTGATAATTGCATCTATACTGAAAATACGTATAGACTTTATTCCTTGTCATTATTCCCTAAACAATACAACTATTTACATAGTACGTACATTATATTAGGTATTATAAGTAACCCAGAGATTATTTAAAGTATATGAGAGGATGTGTGTAGGTTACATGCAAATATTACACCATTTTATGTAAGGGACTTGAGCAAATGTAGATTCTGGTTTCCTCTGGGGATTCTAGAACAAATCTCCCACGGATACTCAGGGAAAACTGTTACTCTAACAACAAGTGTTATACACTTACCATGTGCTAGGTCCTCTACAGGTACTTTACACTCATGATCCCATTTGATCCTTACAATCCCTATCCACTCTCCCTTTGCTCAGACAAGACATGCTATCCCCATGAGGTAGATAATCTCCATTATGCCAATTTTATGATGAGAAGACAGGCTGTTCATACTCCCGCCCGCCCCAACCAGGCTGTCCCAAGTTCTGGTTTTCCTCACTGGAAACTTGCTGTTACCTCTGAGAGGGGCATGTTCACTTATGGCCCAGACATTAGTGGCGGGGTTGGTGGGGTGGGGGGTCACCCTGTGCTCAGCCTTTGAGAAAACAGGTGGCTGAGGTACTGTGCCCTTAGGGAGCCTGCAATTAGGAGGCAGGGTACCCCTCAGTACACAAACTGATGGAGATGATAGAGTGTACGGCACACACACCGAGGCTACTGTATTGTGTGTCTGTCCTAGCTGGGTCATGATGTGCGGCTACCTCCCACACCTGAGTGTCCCACTGCCCTGCTGGGGGTTGGGGAAAATCATTATTGGGATGAGCAGGTTTGCAAAATGCCTGGTGGACTGAGGCAGGCTGTCCTGAGTACCCACAGTGGGAGTACCTGGCAGGGGTCTTGCAAGATGTGGTATTAGCCAAGGAGCTGATGATATCTTTTTCTCTGTCTCCTGAAGGATACTTATCCGCTTTTTCCCCTTGGAGTCCTGGCAGATTGGCAAGATAGGGACGGTCATGACTTTTTTATGATTGGGCACGGAGGGATCCAGGGCATCTGTGAACTGGCTGCTTCTTCCAGAGAGATCTCTTGGCAGAGTGAGGGCCTGGAGATAACCAGCTTTGGATTATCCCGCATGCAACATTCCTGTGATCACATAATCCTCTTCTTCATCCTCATATGAAATAAATGAAGAGAGCTTCCTCATTCAAACATGACTTCTTACCTTCTATTATCTCTCCTGGGCATCTGGGGCCACCATGGGCAGCAGGGCTGGTGGATAAGACCGTAGGGAACCTGGAGGGGGATGATTTAGACTGCTCAGATCTGGGGCTGGGAGACTCAGCCTGGAGGCTCTGCTCTCCACACCCATCTGCAGGCCTGTGGGAAGGTGTGAGCAGCTGGTCCAGCTGGGGCCTTCCTGCAGACTGCTGACCTGAGGCTCCTGTCCTCAGCCCCAAAATGGGACCAGACCTCTGTACTCCTCCTGAAGTCTACTCCCTCCATGACTGGCTGGGCAGCCTGCCACGCCACTCTCCCCTTTTCCCCACTGTAGAGTGGAGGCAGGGGTTGCCTGTGTCCCTTTGGGGGTTGGTCGCTGGTTTTCCAGAAGCAGGGTCCCCAGTCTGCCCCTCCTCCTCCCCAGGGTTGCAAGCTTCGACTCCCTCCCTTTGGCAAGACTCAAACCGTCCTCCCAGCTGCCCCATCACCCCTTCCTGGCAGTAGCACCACTTTTCATAACCTTTCCAGCCCAGGGGTCCCCAGGCTGGGAGGACAGCTGGGGGGATGAATGGCAGGTAAGGCTTCCTGTGTCTTCTCTCCTGTTGCAACTGTGCCACCTGCACACTTACACACTCATGGACACACCATGCACATACACACATCCACCCGCATCTAGTCACGATTCATCACATTCACACACATATACAATCATACCATTTACACACAGTTAACTCGTGTACACACACATATACACCCAGTCACATAATTCACTCACATCCAACAAAGTCACACAACTCAAATTCACACATATAGACCAAATCCCCACACACGTACACACACACACACAATCACAGCATTCACTGACATTCATAGTCATCACACAGTTCACTCACACACACACATACTCCCCGTCACACACAGGCACACAATTCACACCAACAAAATCACAATTCACTTATCCACCCACATACTCAAATTCACACTGCTCACATTTACACACAATTCACTAAAATTCACGTATACACCCATGTACACAGTTCACTCACATCACACACATATACACCCACACATAAACACACAATTCACTCACACACAGTTCACTGACATTCGCACACATACACACGCACCACACAGGCAATTCAGTCACATGGCCAAAAGCCAGTCCTCACCTTGCTAGTTCCCTTCCCAGTGTCACCTCCGCCTTTGGCCCTCAGCGTCCCCTTCCCATGCCTGGACTGCTGGAGAGCCCTGAACACACCCCATCTTCATGCCTCCAGCACTAGCCCAAGCCCTTCCCTCTGCCAAGAGCACTAAGTGCAACTCAAGGTCACTTCTAGGGACCCTTCCCTGTCCCTCCTCCTGCCAGGTGACATGAGGATCCTGCTGGCCCTGCTTAACAATGATGCACACCACAGTTAGTTCAGCCGAGGTCGCTCTCCCAGACTTACTGCCACCTACACAGCACTGGGACTGACTGTTTAACTTTATTCTTTATTTCGTGTACTTTATTGGAGTGTCTGTTGAAAGCAAAACCATCCAATTAGGAACAATCCAAAGGCAGCCAGCATGGAGTGAGTGCAGTGGTGGAAACTCAGATTATTGCAGCCTCGACCTCCTGGGCCTAAACAAACCTTCTGCCTCAGCCTCCCATGTAGTTTGGATCACAGGCTCATGCCACCATGCTGGGCTAATTGTATGACTTTGTAGAGATGGGGTCGCACTTTGTTTCCCAGGGTGGTCTTGAATTCCTGGGCTTAAGTGATCCTCCCACCTCAGCCCATTTTGCAAAAGTGCTCATCCCGGTAATGAGCATTCCCCAACCCCCAGCAGGGCAGTGGGACACTCAGGTGTGGAATGGTGGCTGCACATCAGCATGACCCACCTAGGACAGACACTCAACACAGTAGCCTCATCGTGTGTGCTGCACACTCCATCATCTCTGTCAGTCTGTGGGCTGAGGGGCAATCTGCCTCCTCCTAATTGCAGACTCCCTAAGGACACAGTACCTCAGACACCTGTTTTCTCAAAGGTTGGGCACAGGGTGGCCCCCCCACCACTAATGTCTGTGCCATAAGCCAACATGCCCCTCTCAGAGGTGACAGCAGTTTTCAGTGAGGAGCGCCACAGCTTGGGACAGCCTGGCTGAGGGCGGGGGAGTATGAAGAGCCTTAGTCTTCTCATCATAAAATTGGCATAATGGAGATTATCTACCTCATGGGGATAGCATGTCTTGTCTGAGCAAAGGGAGAGTGGATAGGGATTGTAAGGATCAAATGGGATCATGAGTGTAAAGTACCTGTAGAGGACCTAGCACATGGTAAGTGTATAACACTTGTTGTTAGAGTAACAGTTTTCCCTGAGTATCCGTGGGAGATTTGTTCTAGAATCCCCAGAGGAAACCAGAATCTACATTTGCTCAAGTCCCTTACATAAAATGGTGTAATATTTGCATGTAACCTACACACATCCTCTCATATACTTTAAATAATCTCTGGGTTACTTATAATACCTAATATAATGTACGTACTATGTAAATAGTTGTATTGTTTAGGGAATAATGACAAGGAATAAAGTCTATACGTATTTTCAGTATAGATGCAATTATCAATTTTTTTTCCTCTAATATTTCAATCCATGGTTGTTTGAATCAACAGATGCGTAACCCAGTGATACAGGGGGCTGACTGTATTATTCCTCTGTAGCTTGAGGGAGGACCCAGCAGGATCAGCCATTCCTCATCGACCTTCATGGACTAACAAAGGCTCCATTTCAGAAGGTCTTTTTTTGTGAGCCAAGGTCTCACTGTCACACAGGATGGAGTGCAATGCGCAATCATAGCTCACTGCAGCCTCAACCTCCTGGGCTGAAACCATCCTCCCACTTCAGCCTGCCAACTAAGTGAGACTACATGTGCACACCACCATGTCCGGTTAATTTTTAAAACTGTTTTGGGGGATGGCATCTCACTATGTTACCCAGACTGGTCTACAACTCCTGGGTCAAATGAACCTCCCGCCTTGGTCTCCCAAAGTGCTGGGATTACAGGCATGAGCCACCGTGCCTGGACAGTGTCCTTTCAAGCTTCTCATGCCCTTACTTCCTCCTAGACATGGATGTGGCTCAAGAATATCTTTTACCCAAGAGGAAACTTTAACTCGGTCACAGAACGCCAGGTTTGGGTTGCAGACGCTTCTTGTGGGGGAGGGAGGTCTTTTCCCCTGTATTCACAGAAGAGGAGGTTGCCAACTGGAGATGGTTCATTTCCAAGTTTGTCTGGGGTCCCCCAGCTATGCAGGACCCAGAAAGCAGATGTCTAGACATCCAGGCCAATGGTCTTTCACTACTCTGTGAGTCTCCCGTGAACTTCACCTGGAACCTGGCTGGGACACAGGTCCAAAATACGTAACTTCAGAACATACCCAGAATTCCTTCTGACCAGCCTGGAAAAGTTCTAGAAAATCACACTTCAGCCACGTGTACCTACCCTGTCAGGTGCCAAGGCAGGTACAGCACACAGACAATCCCACATGACCCTTGCACTGCCCCGGGGGTGTTAAAAGAGAGCCTTCCCGGTTCACAGACTTACACACTGAGGAGCAGAGCCAGAAATTCATTCAATCCTGCTCGCACTTTGAAGATGGTCCTAACAGCAGGAACCTAAGGGGTCAGGGGGCCCCAAAGCTCCAGACCCTGATGTGTCCTTACTGGGCAGGGCAAGAAATGGGTTTTTCCCCCTGAGGCAGGATCAGTGGCTCCAGTCTGCGGCAGTCCCACATGGATCCCCTACTACCCCTACGCACCGGTCCTGGCCCAGGGCTAGCTCCTTGGTGAGAAACTCAAAGAAGTGGGCGCTGTGGCTGCGGTTGTCCTCGGCGGTGCCCACTACGCCGATGGAGGAGATGGACAGCTGCGCGCAGGGCTCGGTGGACCCGCTCAGCGCCATGGCCAGGCCCGGCCGTACCGTCACGTTCACGCGCTGAGGGGGACATGAAAAGTTTTGCCCGAAGTTGGAGCCGGCCGGGCTACCTCTGGGGACGGGACCCGAGCGCGCGAAAGCCGAAACGCGCAGTGTTCGCGGGGCAGGGATCCCGATACGGGCCGCGGTCCCTGAAGGTCACGCCCGGGTCATGACTGGGGAGGGCGACAAGGGAAAGACGTGCGGAGGGGGAGCCGCGGGATCGTGGAGCACGGAAAGTCAGAGCTTGGCGTGAGGAAAGGAGTGGGGAGTGGTCCCTGGGGAAAAGATTCGGGGTCACTGTCGGGGAGGCGGAGCAGGGACAGGGCCGGACCCCTGGCCCACCAACCTCCCCTCGCCCCGTGCTGCCCGGCCCACGCTTACGTCCGCAGGTTTGCCCAGGATGGAGGCAGCGGCGGCGCAGAGTCGTTTCTCCAGCCCCGCGGGCACTCGGTTGGCGGGCAAATTCGTGTCCAGCTCCAGGAACGGCATGGCGGGCAGAGGAACGGAAACAGCTCTGGCGGAAGAAAAGCTGGGGGTACCCAAGGCTCGCGGACCAGGGAGGAGGGGCGAGGCGCCACAGCAACCTGGCTTCTCATTGGCTGGACAGAGACTCGGCGCTCCCCGATTGGCTGCCTAGGGTACCTCCCGCTTCTGCAAACAAAAGTCACGTGTGCCGGCTGATTTCCGGAAGTCCCATCGTCTCCGCCCTACGTGTAGCCCCACCCACTACAGGTCTTTAACCCGGTAGTGGACCCACCCTGTCTCCCCCGACCCTCCTGCCTGGCGCCAGGTGGGTTTCCCTCTCAAGCTTCCGCGCTGTGGTCGCCCGGTTCCTAGCCCTATTAGAGGTCTGAACACCACACCCCCGACACACAAGGACACACACACACCTATAGGGGTCTTCCCCAGGCTCGACCCTAATAACCAATACAACGGGAGCTTAAAGTTTTTTTGAATGATTTGCCACCATTTCGAAGTCAGGCAATTTCATGTTCAGTATGGAAATCTGCGCTTGGGCAGTCAGGAGATGTGGTTACTCGCGGGGGCGCGGGTAGGGCTAGGCTCACGACAATACCTGTCCCTGCCTGGTCCCCATTGACATCTGCCTGTGTAGCCTCTTGTGCCGGTGGTGAGCCACTGTCCACCAGGGGGTGGCAAAATATGTTCTTTAAAACATGGAAAGGCCGGGCACGGTAGCTCACGCCTGTAATCCCAGCACTTTGCGAGGTCCAGGCGGGCGGATCACCTGAGGTCAGGAGTTTGAGACCAGCCTGGCCAACATGACGAAACCCCGTCTCTACTAAAGATACAAAAATTAGCCGGGCGTGGTGGCAGACGTTGTAATCCCAGCTGCTCGGGAGGCTGAGGCAGGAGAATCGCTTGAACCGGGGAGGTGGAGGTTGCAGTGAGCCGAGATCGCGCCATTGCACTCCAGCCTGGGTGACAGAGCGAGACTCCATCTCGAAAAAACATCAGAAAACATGGAACTCTGTTGGCGTGGCTTAAACATGAGTGTGGTCAGTGTGGCAAAATCACTTGAATTGTACATTACAAATATGACTGAAGTTGTGGTCGAGCAATGTGGCTCACACCTGTAATCTCAGCACTTTGGGAGGCTAAGAAGGGAGGATTGCTTGAGCCCAGGAGTTAAAGATCAGGCTAGGCAACATAGCAAGATTCTCTTCTTTATTTTCTACAAAAAAAAAAAAAAAAAGAAAGAAATCTGGGTGCTGTGGTGTGTGCCTGTAGTCCTAGCTACCTGGGCGGCTGAGGCAGGAGGATTGCTTGAGCGCAGGAGATCTAGGCTGCAGGGAGCTATGACTGTGCCACTGCACTCCACCCTAGATGACAGAGTGAGACCCAGGCTCCCCCCTCCCCCACAAAAAAGAAAGAAAAAATTTGCAAGTTTATATGTACAATTTCAACTACGTGTATAAAATTCTCTATAAGTGTGCATACTTAAAGGAGCCTCCACTGAAAGGCCGACAGAGTCTCTGTCTGTCATGATCTTGTCCTATTAGCAGTTTGTTTATTAGATGACTCAGATATCAGAAGGTCTGAGACACACGACAGGTAAATATGACAGTCCTAAGGGGAGAGGGCAGGGACAGGTGGCAAGTCTGGGACCAGGTGTGGGGCATGGACAAGCCAGTGGTCCGGGAGTGGGGTGTAGAGAAGACTGTGGTCAAGGTTATGAGGAGGCATGGGAGAGGGCCAGGAAATAACCAGGGACTTCCCTTCCTGCAAGGAGGTTCATGAACCAGCCCTGCACCCCACTTGTGGAACACAACATCGCCCCACAGTGAGGAGAGAGACCGAGGAGACCAAGGCTGATCCTGATTCAGACATCTTTCCACCAGGTCACCCCTCATCGATGATACATGCTCAGTCCGGGGGTATCCCCCGCAAGGAAACACTGGGGCTGAGGAGCCCAGAGAGGTCGCCTGACCTGGACTGGGGCTGGGGAGGTCAGGGAAGTCTCCCTGGAGAAGAGACAGGGTGCCAAATGCCAAAAGACCAGGAAGGGCACCAGGCGAAGATGAGGAGGGAACAGCATGAGCGGAGGCCAAGAGGCCAAGGTGGGAGCCCAGAGAGGGGTTAGGAGTGTGCAGGCAGAAGGGGCCACCTGGAGGAGTGGGAGCAAGGCCTTGAATGCAAAGTTCAATGACTTGTACTTTAGCTTCTGGGCAGTGAGGAACCATACAAAGTTCCACACAGAAGGTCAGGGTCAAGTAAGCGTTTGCCCAAGCTCTTTTCAGAGGTCACATGGAAGCTAGAATGGAATGGGGTAGGAGACAAAAGGAATGCAGGCATGATATCTGGAGGAACTGTGGACCAGAGCCTTTGCAGATATGTCTTCTCTTCAACCAAGGAGACGGACAGCTCCATGTCTTTATTCTACCAACACAGCATCCCCTCAGTGGCTCAGCAAGTGTGGGACACGCACTCACAGCAAGAAAAGCTGCATTAAGGTCTTCAGATTCTCTTTAACAGCAGGTTCTACTGGAGGCAGGTCCTTGGCCTTCAGGACAGCTGGGAGGGCCTCCTGGAAGAGGTCCTCCCGCACTGCAGCCTCCACGTGTTGGGCACCATGCTGCCACCGTGGGTCCGCTTTCAAAGACTCAGCAGCCAGCACTGATGGGCTAGGGGAAGACAGAGTCAGCGGAGGGGCTGGGCATAGCCAAGTGTAAGGCAGCATGACCTGCTTTAGGGGTTCTCTGATTGGATTTTCCCTCCTCCACCATGTGTGTGATGGGCTAGGATGTCCCCCTCCCTGGGGACACTTGGAAGCCTCTTAATATAGCTGCGGTGAGGGGTTTGTAAAGCCCCATTTTATAGATGAGGACACTGAGGCTCAGAAGGAGAAGTGACTCACACAGGGTCCCACAGCCAGAAAAGACAACATGAGCTGGGATGTCAGCTCCCTTCCCGGATACACCACTGCCCAGCGGGCCACCGCACCCCATGGCACTCTCATGCCTCAGCTCCGTGATTGCCACCAAGCCAGCCACAGAGATACGGGGCCCAGTAAGGAAGGCCTGGTCCCGCAGGAACTTGTCCTCGAGCAGCTGCAGGCATCCGTCCAGCTCAGCCAAAGTGGCCGCCAACATCTCGGGTGGCACTGACTCGCCCAGGAACACAGGGATTATTATCTGGTGGGCCGACAGGCAGAGAGAGGGGTCAGGGTCTGCCCAAAGCCCATCCTGGTTCCCACCATCATCCTATCATCACCAGTCCTTGGGATTTCTGCTCACCTCTGCTCACTTCTTTCCACTCATAGCCACCAGTAGCTCTCATCTCCTACTCAAACAGGGACAGCCTCCCCCTTCTCCCTGGGTCCTCACACAAGGCAACCAGTGGGATCCTTCTGTAATCTCAATCTGCCCGTACCCTCTCTTGCATAAAGCCTTCCATGGCTCCCCACTGCCCTCATGAGAAAGGCCTCAACACAAAGCCAGCCTTCTCCAGTGCGGTAGCCATCCCCTCCCCACTTTTCACCTCACCTCCTACTACCCCCCACTTATCAAACGGGAATGTGTGTATGAATCCTCCCTGGAATCTGGTTACAGTTTATGCTCCCAATCAGTAAGGTCAGAGTGGGGCCTGAGCCTCTGCATTTCCAACAAGCTCCCTGGTGATGCTGATACTCCCAGTCCATTGACCACACTTTGGATAGGAAGAGTCTACACTTGCTCTACTCAACTTCTCTCCATTCTGTCCTCAAACACACCACGCTTCCTTCCCCACCAGCTGGAGGGGGCTCTGCTCCCAGGCCCCAGAGGTCAAGGCAGACACAGTTAAGGTGTGGAAACCTCCTTATTGCCCGATGGATCCTCCAGAGAGGCGGTCCCTTACTTTCAGCAGGGCGCGTGTCTACCTGTTTCATGCTGTCTCACACACAGGGTGCCACCCCTGTGCTGGGCACTGGGTAAGTGCTCTGTACATATTAATTAGGAGTACTCATTTCAAAAATATGTGTGCCTTTGATAAATAAAAACAGTATGTGCATGTTGTGTTGGTGTGTGCTTCCTTGATTATTACTGAAGTTAAACATGTTTTCATCCATGTATTGACCATTTCTCTTTGTCCTTCAATGAAACCTCTGCTGATTTCCTTCGCTCATTTTTTTCCTGTGTCTTCGTCTGATGAGTTTCTCTTCTTTTTGTTTGTTCGTTTGTTTGTTTTGAGACAGTCTCGCTCAGTGGCCCGGCTGGAGTGCAGTGGTATGATCTCAGCTCACTGAAACCTCTGCCTCCAAGGTTCAAGTGATTCTCCTGTCTCAGCCTCCCGAGTGTGCCACCGCACCCAGCTAATTTTTGTATTTTTAGTAGAGACGGGGCTTCACCGTGTTGCCCAGGCTGGTCTCAAACTCCTGACCTCAACTGATCCGCCCATCTCTGCCTCCCAAAGTACAGGGATTACAGGCGTGAACCACCACACCCCACCTGTCTGATGGGTTTCTAAGAACATCTTAAAGGACATTACTTCCTTCTGACGTATCTTTTACCGAGATCCTTCCCAGTTTTTTGCTTAAGGTTAATCCATTTTTTCCTCCACAAAGTAACCTTGTATATGTATTGGTTTTTTCTTTGTTGAGTTCTCCCACTGTTCTGAGGCTTAGAAAGTCCTTTCATACCCAGACATCAGAGAAACAGATCCCGTGAGAGTAACTGGGATTGCAGGTGTGGGCCAGCATGCCCTGTTATCACTCCCTTTCTCTGAGTCAGCTTTTCTCTCTCAGTCTCGTCTACTCCTCGAACTCAGGAAATGTCACTACAGGTGGCCCCAGCTCCCGTTTACCTCCCCATAGGGAGCTCCTCTCTCCAGTTCCAGTTTCAAAACTCCCAAGGAAGCATTCTGGTTCACTCGCTTGGGCCACTGGCCAGAGGGATGGGATACTCTGAAAGATTCAGCTAGAGTCCCGGGCCCAGCCCTGGACCATCACTGTGCCCCCTGGTGAGATGCCAGGGCTGGGATTCAGGGAGAAGAAAGGAGGTTCCCGGACAGTCATTCCTGCCTCCCGCGGCTGCGGGCTCCCTGCCCCCATCCTGTGCACGAAGTGGGAGCTCCCGCTGTCTGGCAGCTCCCGCTGTCTGGCAGCAGCTGCTCTGCAGGGGACAGTCTGGACGGCAGAAAGTTCATCCTTAACCCCAGCCTTCCAGTCAAGGTTCCCACCAGTTTGGGACACCTGCAAGTGTCACATCCCACTGGGTGAAACTCTAAGATCCCTTTTAGGGGATCCCATTCGCTCCCTCCCTTCCGCCACCATGCAGCGCCGAGAAACAGAGCTCTGAACGAACCCTCAGATGTCCGTGCGCTGGGGCCTTTCCAGGACGGCGGCGCCCAGTCGTTTCTGGGTCAGGGCGACGCCTGGAACTGGGCAGGGTCCCTGGCACCGGGATCCCGAAAAGCAGACCTGCTTCTCCCTGTCCAGCCGGTTCCCCTTCCCCTTGCAGTCGGCCCCCTGCATCCGCGTCCTCCCTGCCAGTCGAGGGTCCCCAGCTCCAACTCCACCCTCCCAGCTGTGCGTTCATAGCGACCGCCCTCCCTGTAGGGACGCACGGATCTGGTGGTGGAGTCTTGGCCGGCAGGACTGGACAGGAACCGAAGGGGCGAGGCGGGTCCGGGGGTGGTGCGCTCCAATTGGGTGCTGTCCCCAGGGGGTGGGGCCTGATCCCCTATTTCCCGGCGCGCCGGGATCCTGCCACAGCTGCTGCCCACACCGCGCTCAGCGCCTTCACTGCCATCCCCGCTGTCCTTGCCGCCCCCGCCATGGGCCTAGAGCTGTTTCTTGACCTGGTGTCCCAGCCCAGCCGCGCCGTCTACATCTTCGCCAAGAAGAATGGCATCCCCTTAGAGCTGCGCACCGTGGATTTGGTCAAAGGTGGGCCCAGCCCGTTTCCCCGCGTGTCCACAAACCCAGTGCACCCCCAGGCCCCCGCCCTGCTCTGCCCTGAGCGTCTCGCCGCCCGCACAGCCCCCTCACCTCCTCCTGCAGCGTCTGCCACCAGAGAATGCTGTGGACTGAGTGGCCTTGAAGGGATCACAGCCTCTCTGAACCTTAGCTTGCCTTCTGAAAAGGAGGATAACGTTACCTTCTGCTCTGTAGGGATGGAAAGAAAATACTGAATGGAGTTGACAGAGTTCTTGCGTGGAATGCACGCATATAAATTCACAAAGCCCAGAAGACCTCGGGAAGAAGGACATACTGTTGTGAGAATTAAGAGATGGGAAGAGATGAGCCACCCCAGTTTGCCTCCCCTCCCCTGGCCCACCAGAGTCCGGCTAGAAAACTTCTCTTTATCCACCTGCTGCACCTGGCCCCACCCACCAAAACCCCCCAGCTGCCCCGGAATGTGGCAGGGCAGGGAGGCCCAGCCAGGGAGTGAGGCTGATCCAGGCCTCTAGTCCCAGACCTTGCTGTTTCTCAGGGCTGTGGGGCTCCGCTTGGGGAGGAGGAGGGAGGGTGTAGAGGTGCAGCGTTTTTATTCTGAAGACCTTTTCTGACTTCTTCCTCTTCAGGGCAGCACAAGAGCAAGGAGTTCTTGCAGATCAACAGCCTGGGGAAACTGCCGACGCTCAAGGATGGTGATTTCATCTTGACTGAAAGGTGCCCTCCTTCCCTCACCCCTCACCGCATCCGGAGCCCATGTGACCTTGGCTCTCCCCACTGGCCCCGGGCCCCAGTGGCCCTCCCATACCCCATGGGGCAGCGAGGGAGGGGAAAGGCGAGGGATCTGGCCGGGCGCGGTGGCTCACGCCTGTCATCCCGGCACTTCGGGAGGCCAAGGCGGGCGGATCACGAGGTCAGGAGACCGAGACCATCCTGGCTAACACCGTGAAACACCGTCTCTACTAAAAATGGAAAAAAAGTTAACCGGGCGTGGTGGCGGGCGCCTGTAGTCCCAGCTACTCTGGAGGCTGAGGCAGGAGAATGGTGTGAACCCAGGAGGCGGAGCTTGCAGTGTGCTGAGATCGCGCCACTGCACTCCAGCCTGGGCGACAGAGCTAGACTCCGTCTCAAAAAGGCCGGGCGCGGTGGTTTACGCCTGTAATCCCAGCACTTTGGGAGGCCGAGGTGGGCGGATCACGAGGTCAGGAGATCGAGACCATCCTGGGTAACACGGTGAAACCCTGTCTCTACTAAAAATACAAAACATTAGCAGGGCGTGGTGGCGGCCGCCTGTAGTCCCAGCTACTGGGGAGGCTGAGGCAGGAGAATGGCGTGAACCCAGGAGGCGGAGCTTGCAATGAGCAGAGATAGCACCACTGCACTCCAGCCTGGGTGACAGAGGGAGCCCACTCCAGCCTGGGCGACAGAGGGAGACTCCGTCTCAAAAAAAAAGGAAAGAAAGAAAGGAGAGGTATCTGGGGAGAAGGTACAGCTTGGGGTGTGACCGGGATGAGCAGGGGCTGACAGAACATGTCCCCCCACCTCTCATCTTCCAGCCTTTTCTGAGCCGCAGGGCCTCTCCACTCCCAGACTGAAGGGTATTAGAAGAGAAGACAAGGGAACATTTTTCCACTGTTGCGCATTTGTTCAACAAATGCTAGCTGAAAAGAGCCTCTAGTGACTTGTCGCAGACTACCCAATCTACCCAGGCCGGGCCTAGAGGCCAATGCCATGGCCCAAGGGCACAGCTCATGGTGAGGTCCAGCTGCTGGGCAGGAAAAGGACAAGAGGTCAGGTGGCTGCAGAAGTGATGGCTGGGGGCCTGTCAGACGGGGGCCAAAGACATTCCTCCCCTCGTGATCCCTGACCCAAGCGCGTGGACATGCAAGGGACTCCACGGAGCATCCACTGTGTGCCAGCCCCATGCAGGGTTCCAGGGGTCCAGGGAGCCTATTCTGAGCTGCACCGCCTCGGACAAGTCACTTGACCATTCTGACCTTGAGTTTTCTCTTGTGCTAAAAGGCTAACAGGAGTGTCTACCTCACAGGGCGGCTGCTGGCATATCACAGAGATGAGGTTCTCAAAATGCAAAGCAGAAGGTCCAGCCAAGAGTCGGTGCCCAAGGCAACAAAGACAGGAGGAGACTCGTAGGAGGAGGGGGTGGTGTTGGGGAGCTGGAGATGGAGGGCGAGGCTGGAGGGCAGTCCTTCAAATGCAGAGAAGCCCCCGGGCCCCACTGGCAGATGGGAGCAGTTAGGGGTAAATGCCTGGTGCCAGTGTCCTTATAGCCACTGCCCATTTGTTCCCAGCTCGGCCATCCTGATTTACCTGAGCTGTAAGTACCAGACGCCGGACCACTGGTATCCATCTGACCTGCAGGCTCGTGCCCGTGTTCATGAGTACCTGGGCTGGCATGCCGACTGCATCCGTGGCACCTTTGGTATACCCCTGTGGGTCCAGGTGAGGAGAGCCATCTGGAGAGTGATTGGCCATCAGGGAGTAGTTGGCAGTAGGCCGGGGCCATAGACTGACCCACTCTCTGCCCCCATCAGGTGTTGGGGCCCCTCATTGGGGTCCAGGTGCCCGAGGAGAAGGTGGAACGCAACAGGACTGCCATGGACCAGGCCCTGCAATGGCTGGAGGACAAGTTCCTGGGGGACAGGCCCTTCCTCGCTGGCCAGCAGGTGACACTGGCTGATCTCATGGCCCTGGAGGAGCTGATGCAGGTGTGAGCTCAGCCTGTGGGCAGTGTCCCTCTTCGTGTCACACCCATGAGGCAGACAGAAACACTGAGGCCTGGAGAAAGCCAGAACTTTGCCCAGAATCATAGAGCAAGTCTCTGGATGATCTGGGGCCAGAACCCTGAACTTCTGCCTCCTGCCTGGGTGTGGGGTCTCACCCTGGCTGCTCTTGGGCTCTAAGGCTGAACATACTGCCTGGGCCCCTGTGGTCCATTCACTTAGGGGCTGGGGAATGGACCATGTCTCTGATACTTCTGCCCATGGTTCCAGCATTCGGGTCGGCAGTGACAACTGGGAAAGTTGTATGCCCACAACTTTTTCATCCTTGTCCCTACAGCCGGTGGCTCTCGGCTATGAACTGTTTGAGGGACGGCCACGACTGGCAGCATGGCGTGGACGAGTGGAGGCTTTCCTGGGTGCTGAGCTATGCCAGGAGGCCCACAGCATCATCTTGAGCATCCTGGAACAGGCGGCCAAGAAAACCCTCCCAACACCCTCACCAGAGGCCTATCAGGCTATGCTGCTTCGAATCGCCAGGATCCCCTGAAGGGTCTGGGATGGGGGCCAGGAGATTAGCAACAAGGATTCATTCTGTTACTTACTTGCCCCTTTTTATCTTTCCCTCTTGCCCCAGTCCCTTCTCTCCAGCTTCATGTGAAGCTCTGCACAGACAAGACACTCAGTGTCCTTGGCAGTGCTGCTACTCCTCAGGTGCAGCATACATAACCAGTAAGAGACTAAATCTGCAATATATAAAGAGCTCCTACAAATCAGTAACATGAAGAACACTCAAAAATTGGCAAATGTCATCAGTGTTTTAAACAGAATAAAGATTCCAAACACTTTGAATAGAGAACCAAGAGTTATTGGTTTTACTACATTGTTGTGTTATACATATGGAGTAAAAGTATGTGCTAGTAATCCTCATCATGGTTAATAACAAAGTAACCTCACAATAACGAGTCAACATAATTGTATCACCAGGGCAACAAAATGTTAAGTAAGTAACCAATTCGAATTGCAAACTGTTAAAGGATATAGGCGATGTTTCACAGGGCATAGCAACGGTCTTTGAAGTCTAGGAAACTTAAAAGATTTCTTTTAACAAGCATTCATGTCTTCTAGGACAGTTTTGTAATAACTGCAAATAGTAAGATTATACATTGTCACACAGACCTCCATGTATATCCATGGGATGGACCCCACCACAATGATTTTAACGGAGAGAACTTGATATAAAGAATTGGTAACCAGGCATTAGAGAACTCCGAAGACAGAGAGAATCCAGATTAACACGGAGGTAAACACTGCAAGAAGCTACCACCCCTAGGGCTGGGGGATCAAGGGAGGAATTAGGAAGACCAAGATGCTGGAGGGGCCCTGAAGAATTCAAACCTCCAAGAAAGGTGTTGCTCATCCCCCCTAGTATCACCTTCCAAGAAGGGCAGGTTTCCCCAGTTTGCCCTGAGGTCTTCACAGGAGGTCATGTGGCTGTGGATGCAGTTCTCAAATGTGACAGTAGATGTCACTGCCGACCAATAAACAGGATGTTCCAGACACACTCTGGGCTACCTGCCCACATGTCTTGTGGCCTTACGGCCCCCCATTTCCCAAGCCTGCCCTGTGCCCATCATGTGCCACTCTATCGGGGGACCTGCCCCAATAATCACGTAGGTTCTTTCCTATTTTTCCTAACCGTCAGCCGGCTTGAGAAATAAAGGGAGAGAGTACAAAAGAGAGAAATTGTAAAGCTGGGCATCCGGGGGAGACGTCACACGTTGGTAGGATCCGTGATGCCCCACAAGCCACAAAAACCAGCAAGTTTTTATTAGGGATTTTCAAAAGGGGAGGGAGTGTGCGAACAGGTGTGAGTGACAGACATCAAGTACTTAAGAGGGTAATAGAATATCACAAGGCAAGTGGAGGCAGGGCAAGATCACAGGACCACAGGACCGAGGCAAAATTAAAATTGCTAATGAAGTTTCGGGCACCATTGTCATTGATAACATCTTATCAGGAGACAGGGTTTTGAGACCAACTGGTCTGACCAAAATTTATTAGGTGGGAATTTCCTCTTCCTAATAAGCCTGGGAGTGCTATGGGAGACTGGAGTATATTTCATCTCTGCAGTCTCGACCATAAGAGACAGGCCACGCCCAGGGGTGCTGTTTATAAGCTGATACCTCCTGGTGCGTATTCTCTTTCTCAGGGACGTTCCATGCTGAGAAAAAGAATTCAGCGATATTTCTCCTATTTGCTTTTGAAAGAAGAGAAATGTGGCTCTGTTCCGCCTGGCTCACCAGCAGTCAGAGTTTAAGGTTATCTCTCTTATTCCCTGAACAATTGCTGTTATCCTGTTCTTTTTTCAAGGTGCCCACATTTCATATTGCTCAAACACACATCCTGTACAATGTGTGCAGTTAATGCAATTATTACAGGGTCCTGAGGCCATATACATCCTCCTTGGTTGACAGGATTAAGAGATTAAAGTAAAGACAGGCATAGGAAATCACAACGGTATTGATTGGGGAAGTGATAAGTGTCCATGAAATCTTTACAATTTATGTTTAGAGATTGCAGTAAAGACAGGTATAAGAAATTATAAAAGTATTAATTTGGGGAACTAATAAATGTCCATAAAATCTTCACAATCCACGTTTTTCTGTCATGGCTTCAGCCGGTCCCTCTGTTTGGGGTCCCTGACTTCCCGCAACACCACTCCTAGCCGGAAGTATTCCAAGTAACCATTGCAACTGTCCTGCCTTAAGGGTGCCTGGTGGTGGCTTCTGTCTTAGGTCCCATTCTGGCTCTCTCTTCCAGTGATTTCTCATATTTTGAGGGACACTCTGGCCTGCTTTCCTGGGCCTTTTCCATTACCACCCCCTCTCCCCATCAGGCACTGGGGATGGCGGCCACAGCCTGTGCCTTCTTGATCCATGCTGGCTGCCTTGGGATTGTTCCTTATTGGATGGTTTTGCTTTCAACAGACACTCCAATAAAGTACACGAAATAAAGAATAAAGTTAAACAGTCAGTCCTAGTGCTGTGTAGGTGGCAGTAAGTCTGGGAGAGCGACCTCAGCTGAACTAACCATGCTGTGCATCATTGTCAAGCGGGACCAGCAGGATCCTCAGGTCACCTGGCAGCAGGGGCAGGGAAGGGTCCCTAGAAGTGATCTTGAGTTGCACTTAGTGCTCTTGGCAGAGGGAAGGGCTCGGGCTAGCGCTGGAGGCATGAAGATGGGGTGTGTTCAGGGCTCTTCCGCAGTCCAGGCATGGGAAGGGGACGCTGAGGGCCAAAGGCTGAGGTGACACTGGGAAAGGAACTATAGGAAGGTAAGGACTGGCTTTCGGCCATGTGACTGAATTGCCTGTGTGTGGTGTGTGTGTATGTGTGCGAATGTCAGTGAACTGTGTGTGTGAACGTGAGTGAATTGTGTGACTGTGTTTATGTGTGGGTGTATATGTGTGTGATGTGAGTGAACTGTGTGTATGTGGGTGTATATGTGTGTGATGTGAGTGAACTGTGTGTATGTAGGTGTATATGTGTGTGAATTTGAATGGTGTGTAAATGTGACTGAGCAGTGTGAATTTGTGTATGTGGGTGTATGTGTGTGAATGAGTGAACTGTGTGATTTTGTTGGTGTGAATTGTGTGCCTGTGTGTGTGAGGTGTATGTGTGTGTGTGGGAGTGAACTGTGTGATGACTTTGTATTAATGTCAGTGAATGGTGTGGTTGTGTATGTGGGTGTATATGTGTGTGTATGTATGTGAATTGTGTGTGGGGTTGGTGTGTATGTGTGTCAATGTGAGTGAGTTGTGTGACTTTGTTGAATATGAGTGAGTTGTGTGATTGTGTGGGTGTATATGTGTGTATAGGAGTTAACTGTGTGACTGTGTGTAAATGTTATGATTGTGTGTGTGGGTGTATACGTGTGAATGTGATACATCGTGTGACTGTGGGTGGACGTGGGTGGATGTGTGTGTGAGTGTGGCTGTGTGTCGAACAGTGTGTGAGTGTAAGTGTGCAGGTGGTAGCTGTGGAATTAAGGCACATTAGGGGAATCCTTCCTTGGCTCTGGTCCTTGGTTTCCCTCCTATGAAACAAGTTGGGTGAATTAGGCAGTCTCTGGCATTCCAGGATTTGGTCTCAGGTCTAAACAGAATTTTGTAAAGTGAAAGCAGCATCCCTTGGGCATCCCGGGAGGTGTCCCTGCCCTCCATGGCTCACCGTCTGCCACATGGCCCAGCAGCAGCTACTCTGCAGGGCCATGTGCTGCCATGACAGGTACTGATCCCCATGGGCGCGGGCCTGCAGGTCCTGGAGGTACCAGTGGTCAGGTGCTTTGTACATGCAGCTCATATAGAGCAAGCTAGCCACACTGGGGGGACATGGCAGGGGCAGAAGACATGCCCTGAACACTCTTCAACCGTTTTCTGGGGCATTTTCACTATCCCCATGATGCAGAGGAGGGATGTGAGGCTCAGAGAGGTTAGGTAACTACCCAGGGTCACACAGCCCTACACGGGGCCAGACTGTCATCTCAACTAAGGGCAGCAAGGAAGAAACAAAATGTCATGAACTTCAGCAGGGGCTCAGGGAAGGCTTCCAGGAGGAAGGGGCACCCAGTGTGAGTCTGAAGAACGAGAGCATGTTGGATATCTCCCCAACATATCCAAAGTGTGGACAGGGCCAGGAGCAAGGCCAGCAGGGACAGAGCCTTCCAGGTGACATGGCAGCATTGCTTCCCACCCTGTCCCAACTCCCGTTCACCTATGGTGAAGGGTTGTGCAGTCTGACCCTCAGAGCTCATCATGCCTTTATGGGTGTTGGACCATCCAGTGATCCCAGGCTCTGAATGTGAATCCAGCTCCACCAAGGAGGCACTATGTGGCCTCGGTAAAGGACGCCACCATGCGGCCACCAACCTGGAGGCTGGTTTTGGCTTTCATTTTTCCCACCCACCTCCAACCCTTCAGCAAACCCTGCAGTTAGATTTCAATAAAAGTCAGAACTGACCACAATCCCCCGCAACCCTGCACCACCACCACCTTGGTCTGGGGCTCCAGCGCTGCATGCCAGATGACTGCAGTGGCTTTCTCACCCCTGCCAGGGGGATCCTTTACGACGTAAGTCAGATCACAGTTCTCCTCTGCTCAAAACTCTCCAACAACTCAATCCACCTGCGGTAAGAGCCAAAGCCTTCCCAGTGTCCCATGCTCCCCTCTGTCGTGACCTCCTGCTCTTCCTGCTCACTGCACCCACCCTGGCCCGTTGCTCTCCAGTCTGAACCCCATGCATTGTCCCACCTGGAGCCTTCGCCCTCACTCTTCCCTCCAGTGAGAACACCCTTCTCCTCATGCCTTGCACATTCCTACAGCTCCCTGCTCAGATGCCACCTCCTCCAGGGAGTCTTCCCTCAGCATCCTACTCATAATGACACACACCCCCACTCTTACCCTGTTTATTTTTTCCATGGCATCCATCAACATCCGATATGTTCCATGTTTACATGGGTTACTGTCAGCTCCCCCTTCTATTAATGGAATGTGAGATCCATGAGGAGAAGGACGCAGACACGTTCACTGCTCAAGCCCCAGGGCTTAAATGGGGTCTGGCCCTGGTGGATGTTTAGCAAATAGCCACTGAAGCTCGCTGAGTGGTCCCTCGACTCTCCAGGGAAACAGCACTTGCCCCACAGGATTTGTGGGCAAAATGGTAGCACTAAGATGCCTGGTACAGCCGCTCCTCGAAACTTAGCACTCTCCTTTTTTCGGAGGGGAAGGCTGGCGGTGAGGAGGCCCGGAAGCAGACTGGGCCCTGTGGCCTTGTGCAAGTCCCTCCCCTCCTCCAGCCTCAGTTTCCTCACTTGTACAATGCAGGAGGGGACTTCTATAACCCTTGTCAACACTGGGCACCTCTGCCTGCCTCCACCCATTCTTCACCCTGGGGCTGGTGCAGGGCCCACAGTCCATGATCCAAGCCATCAACAGTGAACAGACAGCCGACTGGCCCCACAAGGCCCGGCAGCAGCCCACGGACCGGTTACCTCTCAGCCAAGGTGAAGTCCCCATCCTTCAAGGCCCGGCACCTTCCTCAGGGGGTTCACCTGGGCAAAGGCATCGCTGTGCTGCTGGCCTGCAGGAAAGATCAGAGAGGTGAGTGGGGATAACCCAGAGTTCTCTGAGGTCTCTGCCCACCCCCACCCCAAAATCCCAGCAGCAGCTTTCTGAGGCCCCTATCTGGGAGGCATCAGGGAAGAGGAAGCCTCTCTGCTAGTCACTGGGTCACAGACCTTGACCCCATCAGAGGGCCATCTTTCCTGTGTCCAGCTCCTTGAAGCATGGCTCAAGGACAATTCCCTGGAGCTGTAATTCACACCCCACCCCCAGCCAGTTCCATCCATAGGTCAGACCCCTCCAGCCTCCTCCCTGGGCTCTAGGCTTGCCCCCTCTGATTCAGCTTCCTATCCCAGCTGGGGACTTAGGCCCTACTGGCCAGGCTGGGTGACCTGTCAATACCCCAGAGTCCCAGCCAAACATGTTCCCAACCCTCAGACCAACCTCATTCTTGCTGGGAATCCCTGCCCCATTCAGCTACTTAGCCTCCGGTGGCTCAGCTCTTCTTGCTTTCTTATGCCAAACTCTCAAGGCTCCCTCCCCAGTGGGGGTTCCCAGGTCTGACTCACTTTAGCACTCTAGGCCAGTGCTAGAGGCCGCATTAGGTGCCTGGTGTTTGGATCAGAGGACCTCAGTCAAGCCAGGCTCCAGTCTGATCATAGGCCTACATGTGGGCCTCTTTGCCCTTCTACTGAATGGACATACACACCCCTGCCCATTCTCCCTCCACAGACTGCTTCTGTGTCCAGCCCCTGTTCTGTAGCAGGTGACTCAAGCTGGTTGTACCAAGGGCAGCAGTTGGGAAGAGTCAGCTGAGCAGGGTCCTCCCTCTGGCCTGCCCAGGGGGCTCTGGCTCTGCTCTCTGCCCTACTGCTTAGTTATAGCCCTGCCTCCTCCACTGAATTGTGCTCCAGCTGCATCTCTGTATGCCAGCCAGACCAGCAAACGCTGGAGCTCAGGGTGAGGGTGCTGGCCTCCCCCACTGCCCTGCCACAGGGCCCTCCAGCCTCTAGCCTCTAGGAGTAGCCCCTTCAGCTGGGTGAGAAGCCCCATGGGATAGAGCAAGTCAGATGCAGGAAAAGGAAAAGGCAGAAGAATGCCAAGAAATACATAAAAGTGGAAGAGACCCAGGGCCAGACATGGTGGTGCATGTCTGTGATCTCAACACTTTAGAAGGAGGAGGCAGGAGGATCACTTGAGCTCAGGAGTTCAAGGTCAGCCTGGTCTACATGGCAAAATCATGCGTCTACACACACCAAAGAAAAAAGTAGCTGGGCACGGGGACGTGCCTGTAGTCCCAACTATTCTACTTAGGAGGAGTAAGTTGGGAGGATCACTTGATCCTGAGAGGTCAAGGCTGCAGTGAGCCGGGATCATGCCACTGCCCTCTAGCCTGGGCTGCAGATTGAGACACTGTAATAAATAAATAAATAAATAAATAAATAAATAAATAAATAAATAAACAAACAAATAATACAAAAGTGGAAGAGACACAGGCAGGGGTAGACAGGGACTATTTTACTTAGGAAACAACGAGGCAGTTTCATTGTTTTTTCCAAGCACATGGGGTGAAGATATTCTTGCCCCACTCCATTTCCCTACCCTCGTTCTGTGCCTGCTGTGCCCTCTCTAAACCTGTATTTTGAAGAATGTTTTGTATTCACAAGCAAAGATCAAGCCTCTATTAAAATAGACAACCAGTGGGGCATGGCGGCTCATGCTTGTAATCCCAACACTTTGGGAGGCCAAGGCAAGAGGATCACTTGAGCCCAGGAGTTCTAGGCCAGCCTCGGAAACACAGCAAGACCTCCTCTCAATAATAATAATAATAATAAATTGGCCAGGCATGTCGGTGGGCACCTGTAGTCCCAGCTACTTGAGGGGCTGAGGCGGGAGGATCGCTTAAGCCTGGAAGGTCGAGGCTGCAGTGAGCCATGATTGTGCCACTGCACTCCAGCCTGAGTGACAGAGTTAGATGCTGTCTCCAAAAAGTAAAAATAATAACATAGATAATTATGTAATAGTTTCCACACCGGAGAGTCTGATTCTTCGTGTTAGTCTGCATTCTTGGCCCAACTGCAAAGCAGCGGGGACAGGCAGGGATCCGCGGCCAATATCCCCTGGGCCTGCCTGCCCAGCCCAGCTTTGGTCAGCTCCACTGTGCGAAGCTCGAAGGGGATGCCATTCTTGGCGAAGATGTAGACTGAACGGCAGGGCTGGGACAGCAGACCCATGGCGGGGGCAATGGGGTGGGGCGTGGGAGGGCAGACCTAAACCCAGGGGACGGGCCCTGGGGACAAACCCGGGGACAGGCCCGGGAACAGGAACTGCGGGCAGGAATGGCTGGTTGGGGGCGGCGGACAGGAACGGCTGGGGGTAGGTGAGGGTTGGGCAGGAACTGCTGGGTCACCGAGCCTGCAGCGGTGCACCTCACCAGGAGCCCCGAGTCCGGCCACGCCCTCTTCACTCATCCCTTGGCTCCTAGAACTTCGGGTCAATCAGTGGCGTGTCTGCTCTCTCACCACCCCTTTCTGGGAATCTAGGCTGCAGGTATATTTCCCACTAAAAGGGAAGAGGAGAGGCTGGGCGCGGTGGCTCACGCCTGTAATCCCAGCACTTTGGGATACCGAGGGGGGCGGATCACGAGGTCAGGAGATCGAGACCATACTGGCTAAAACGGTGAAACCCGTCTCTACTAAAAATACAAAAAATTAGCCGGGCGGGGTGGCGGGCGCCTGTAGTCCCAGCTACTCGGGAGGCTGGGGCAGGAGAATGGCGTGAACCCGGGAGGCGGAGCTTGCAGTGAGCCGAGCTCACGCCACTGCACTCCAGCCTGGGCGGCAGAGCCATACTCCGTCTCAAAAAATAAAAAAAAAGGAAGAGGAGAAAGGAGGTGCAGCAGCCTCCTTGCCCAGTGCCTGGGCCCAGTGCCCAGGACGGAGGCCAGAGAGGAAGGGTGGCTGACTGCCTGCGGGGCTGCCAGCCCCACACCTCATGAAGGAATGAGCTGTCCCTCCCCAGTTGCTGGGGTCATATTTGTTACACTCTAGCTAACGCCTCCCCGAGATGGCTGAGGCCCTGTGAGGCCTATCCAGAGGTTTCCAACAGTGCCTGGCATTGCACAGTAAATTAATCACCATGACACGAGTTTTGCAAAAGAGAAAAGATTTATTCACAGGGCACCAAGCAAGGATGTGGGATAGTAGCTCTCAAATCCACCTTCCCGAAAATAAGGCTTAGGGATAAGCCTTGCTTCCAAGCAGTAGAGCACAGGCCCCAGCCACGCTCCAGGGTAGGGGACCATACAAGGATGTGAATAGCAGTGTCGGCCTTGTGGGCCTACAACGCAGAAGGGCCATGCACTTGGTTTAAAGCTTTGCTGTTGCCATCTTAACATTCTTAACAAGTTAAAAATAAGGGTCCCCACATTTTCATTTATAGCCAGTCCTGTCCAAGGAGTTCAAAGATCTCATGAGGGTGGACAGGGCACTGTCTGCTCTGGGCAGTGATGGGACCACTAACAGTTGTTCTCCAGTCTCCCAGCGCCTACCCCAGGGCCACACCTTCCCCTGGGCTCTACTATTCTTTTTTTTTTTTTTTTTTCGAGACAGGGTCTTGCTGTTGCCCAGGCTGGAATGAGTGCAGTGGTACAAACTTAGCTTACTGCAGCCTCAACCTGGGCTCAAACAATCCTTCTGCCTCACCCTCCCATGTAGCTCAGACCACATGCGCATGCCACCAGTCTGGGCTAATTTTTTGACTTTGTAGAGACGGGGTCGCACTTTGTTTCCCAGGGTGCTCCCGAATTCCTTGGCTCAAGTGATCCTCCCACCTCAGCCCCCCACAGTGCTGGGATTATAGGTGTGATCCACCACCCCTGGCCTCTCTCACATTCTTGACATTTAAAGTTACCATCATTGACAAGGAACATGGGTACACTCCAATTTACTCAAGAAAAAGCTCTTTTCTCCATTGAAGAGATATGTGGCCTAACTGCTTCCTACTCTAGTTGAGTCTTCTTGTTGTTTCCTTTTTCTTCTTCTCTCTTGTTTTTTAGAGACGAGGTCCTGCTGTGTTGCCCAGGCTGGTCTCAAAGTTCTACCCTCAAGAGACCCTCCTGCCTTGTCCTCCCAAAGTGTTGGGATTACAGGTGTGAGCCACTCTGTCCAGCCTCAAACTGTGGTCATTAGATCAGCAGCAGTAGCAGCCTTGCCTGGGAGCTTGTTAGAAATATACTAACAGGCTCCCACCCCCAAACCCAGACCTACTGAATCAGACAGAGTTTATTTTCATAAGATCCTCAGGTGATCCAAATGCACCTTAAACTTTGAGGAGCTTTGATCCAGAACCTGAGGTGGAGGCCCCTGGGGGCCACTCTGTTCCTCACAGACTGCAAGATATGTTTTTTTCTTGCCTCTTCTCTCTGTCCCAATGTCTCCTTCTCTCTGTGTCTGACCCTGAGGACCCTATGACATCCTCCCAGGGGAGTTTCCACTGCCAAAGGCCTGATTCTCTAGAATCTGATGGGCTCCTCTAGACACCAATCTCTACCTGGGCTCTTGTTGAAGAAGCCAATCAGCTCATTGGTTGGAGATCACGTGATATACAACATGGCTGCCTTCCAAGCCTTATGTGTGGACAAGGAGATAGGGACAAGTAGGCATATCATGTTCTGATACCTGGGCCATCGTCTCTCCTTAGGCCCCCAGGATACACGTTTATGGGGAGTTTTCCTCCCTTCCCCCAATATGGTCACTCATAACTTTACACCCACCAAACAGGAGTGGAAGCTACAGGGTTTCATGTAAACAATAGGCTAGGCTGTGGGGCTGAGTAAAAGGCACTGGACTGTGGTAGGTCTTACTCCAAGATGGCCAAATGGAAGGGCTTTTAGCTTTCTTTGTTTTTGTTTTATATTTTGAGCTATAATATTCAATTTCTACACTTCAGAATAAAAAGAGCCACAATTTATGATTCATATTTTTTGTAGCTGCTTCCCTATGCTTTTGAACAATGTAATCATATTTTCATTATCAGATATAATTCCCATACCATAATATCCACCCTTTCAAAGTATACTTTAAAATTCAATTGGTTTAAAGCCAATTCAGTGGTTTTTAGTATATTAACAAAGTTTTGTCACCATCACAGTTATCTAATTCTAGATCATTTTCATCACCCAAAAAAGAAACTCTGTACCCAATAAAGAGTCACTCCCCATTCCCCTCTTCCCCTAGCCCCTGGTTACCATTCATCTACTTTCTACCTCTGTGGATAGGAAGTAGCTGCCTATTCTGGAGATTTCATTCAAATGGAATAATGAAATATGTGACCTTTTATGACTGGCTTCTTTCATTTAGCATAATGGTGTCAAGGTTCATCCATGTTGTAGCATATAACGGTACTTCATCCCTTCTTATGGCTGAATAATATTCAATTTTATGGACTTTTTAGCAAAACATTCTAATTTTTACTTCTCTACTGTGCTTATTGTTTGTCTTTCTCCACAACAATGTGAGCACTAAAGGCAGACATTTTTGCCTATTTTGTTCACTACTGCTTTTTCTGCACCAAAAGCATTGCCTGGTTGTGGGTACTTTTCTAGTTTTAGGAAGGAGAAGACAAGATATAGGTCCTGACTCTGGTTCTGCCTCTCATTCATATGCTACTCTGAGGATCCCTTCCCCTTGAAGAACTTGTTTCTTCATCTACAAAATGGGGATAATACTACTACTCATCAGGGTGGTTGTGAGGATTAAACAAGGTAAGAGATGTAAAATTGCATGTTAGTTATCAGATAGATTTGTGTTCCCATCTAGCTCCAACGAGGGAGAGGATTTGCTCTAGTCTGTCCCTCCGGGCTCTGGGCTTCTAATGGGCAGACAGCTTCCTCCATGATGTTTGTAGCTGTAAAGCCTGGCATAGTCCCTCAAGACAAGTTTTTTTTTTTTTTGAGTCGGAGTATCGCTCTATCACCAGGCTGGAGTACAGTGGTGCGATCTTGGCTCACTGCAATCGCCGCTTCCTGGGTTCAAGTGATTCTCCTGCCTCAGCCTCCCAAGTAGCTGGAATTACAGGCACACGCCACCACACTCAGCTAATTTTAAGACAGGCTTTTGGATTTGAACTGCTGATGGTCTTCCATGAACAATTCAACAGAAACCCAGTAGCGCACACTTCCTTGTATGCACTTGCTCCCTCTCTTTACATTTATTACACATTTAATGCTACCTAATAATTCCCTATACTTATCTTTTACTTTATCCAATCATTCAACAGATTCCAACCGAAATACATAGAAGAGTGATATTCCAACTTCATCAGACCCTGAGATTCTATTTTTAACATTTCTTCCATGGATTGTTGAATGTTTCCAATGATTGATCCACCTTCCCTTGGCCTTTTCTACATTACAGATTTGGTTGCATGTCCTTGTCTATGTTGCCAAACTTGCCTCATAGACCCAGCTTGAACACAAGATGGGTGCTTGCTGAAGAGCAGGACTCATTCTGTTGAACCTGCATGTTTTCTCAGGTCAGATTGCTTGGTGGCACTTCTTTAATTTCTTTCAACAGCACATTGTAGTTTGCTGTGTTGAAGTGTTGCTTTTCTTTGGTTAAATTTATTCTAACTATTTTATTCTTTTTGATGCCATTATAAATGGAAGTGTGGTTTTAATTTTGTTTTTGATCCTTTATTGCAAATGTATACTACTGATTTTTGTGTATTAATCTTGTATCCTGCAACCTTGCTGAACTTATTTTATTTTATTGAGATGGAATCTCAGTCGGTCACCCAGGCTGGAGAGCAGTGGCACAATCTTGGCACACTGCAACCTCCACCTCCTGGGCTCTAGTGATTCTCCTGTCTCCACCTCCCGAGTAGCTGGGACTACAGGCATGCGCCACCACGCCCAGCTAATTTTTGTATTTTTAGTAGAGACGGGGTTTCACCATATTGGACAGGCCGGTCTCAAACTCCTGACCTCATGATCTGCCTGCCTCAGCCTCCCAAAGTGCTGGGATTACAGGTGTGAGCCACTGTGCCCAGCCTTGAACTTGTTTATTAGCTCTAATGGTTAAGTGAGTTCCTTAAGAATTCCTATAATGTCATCTGTGAATAGAGATGGTTTTACTTCTTTCTTTCTGATCTAGATTCCACCTTGTTCCTTTTTCTTGCCTAATTGCCCTAATAAGTAGAAGTAGTGTGAATGAACATTCTTGTCCTGTTCCTGATCTTAGGGGGGAAATGCTCCATCTTTCACAATGAGTGAAGTGTGGTGTTAGTTATAGGTTTTTCATAGATGCTTTTTGCCAAGTTGAGGAAGTTCCTTTCTCATCTTCATCTGCTGAGTAATTTTATCGTAAAAGGATGTTAGATTTTGTCAAATGCCTTCTCTGCATTAGGATGATCATGTGACTTTTTATTAACATGGTATGCTACATTGATTGATTTTTGTATGTTGAACTGCATTTGTACTCCTGGGATAAATCCTACCTGGTCAAGGTGTATGATCCTTTTAATATGCGGCTGGATTTGATTTGCTAATATTTTGTGAGGATTTTTACATCTATATTTATAAGGATATTGCTTTGTAACTTTATTTTCTTGTAATGTCTTTTTCTGTCTTTGGTATCAGAGTAATTCTGGCCTCATAGTATGAGTTGAAAAATATTTCTTCCTGTTCTATTTTTTGGAAGAGTTTGTGAAGGCTTTGTGTTAGTTCTTCAAGCTTTTGGTTGAATTCACCAGTAAAACCATCTGGTCCTGGGCTTTTCTTTGTGGAATTTTTAAAAATAATTAATATTTTAATCTCTTTATTTGTTACAGGTCTATTACAATTTTATCTTCCTTCTTAAGTCAGTTTTGGTAGATTGTGTGTTTCTAAAATTTTCCCATTTCATCTAGGTTGTCTAAATTGTCCACATATAATTATTCATAGTATTTCTTTCTAAACTTTTGTATTTCTCTATGACCAATGTGATGTCTCCATTTTCTTTCTTTCTGGTTTCCTTTTAGTTTCTTCATTTTTGTTTTTGTTTGTTTTTTGAGATAAGGTTCTTCTATGTTGCTCAGGCTGGAGTGCAGTGGTGCAATCATAGCTCGGTGTAACCTTGAACTCTTGGACGCGAGTGATCCTCCCACCTCATCCACCCAGTTAGCTAAGACTACAGGCATGCACCACCACACCCAGCTAATTTTTTAAAAATATATATTTTTTAGAAAAAAGTCTCATTGTGTTACCCAGGCTGGTCTCAATCTCCTGGCCTCAAGTGATCCTTCTGCCTCTGCTTTCCAAAGTGCTGGGATTACAGGTGTGAGCCATTGCACCCAGCCTCCACTTTCTTTCTTGGTGAATAATTTGACCCTTATTTTTTTCACTTGGCTATTCTAAGTAAAGGTTTGCCAATTTTGTTGATCTTTGCAAAGATCCAATTTTTGGTTTTATTGATTTTATTGCTTTTCTATTTTCTATTTCATTTATCTCCATTCTAATCTTTATTATTTCCTGTTTTCTACTGGTGTTGGGTTAGGTTTGCTCTTATTTTTCTAGTTCCTTAAGGTGTAAAGTTAGGTTATTGATTCAAGATCGTTGTTCTTTAACTTATGTGTTTACAGCTATAAATTTTGCTCTTAGCACTGCTTCTGCTGCATCCTATAAATCTGGGCATGTTGTGTTTTCATTTTTATTCGCTCAAGATACTTTTTGATGTCCCTTGTGATTTCTTCTTTAACCCATTGTTTGTTTAAGAGTGTGCTGTTTAATTTCTATGTGCTTGTGAATTTTCTAGTTTTCCTTCTGTTCTTGATTTTTCACTTTATTCCACTGTGTCCAGAGAACATACTTTGTGTGATTTCAATCATCTTAAATTTGAGACTTAGGACCAAATATATGCTCTATACTGGAGAATATTCCATGTGCTCTTTAGAAGAATGCTTATTCTGCTCCTGTCGGGTGGAACGTTCTGTTCATGTCTAGTGTATGCGATTGGTTAATCGTGCTTTTCAAATTCCCTATTTCCTTGATGGTCTTCTGTAGTTTTTCTATTACTGAAAGTGGAGTATTGAAGTCACCAACTATTATTACTCACAATGTAACCATATTTAACCCTTTACTTTTAAAATTCTTTTTGGAAACTGGAAGGATCTGTAACCACCACCCACTCCCACATCAGACCCTATGCATATGCCAACTGTCTGCTGCTCAGCAGCTGTGATGGTTGTTCCAGTTCTTTATTAGGCAAAGAACAGTTTTTTGTTTTTGTTTTTGTTTTTGTTTTAGTATTTCCTTTAAGGAAGGTGGCTCAGATTGCTAAGCCAGCCAGGCCCTGCGGGACAGGCTGCGCCTAGGGTCACCTGCTCTTCTTCAGCAACTCAGAAATATTCTCCTTGACCATTGAATCCAGTGTTGAAAAGTCCCAGTCGGCCAACTGCATTAGTCGATCATGGGCCTCCCTAAAGAGGCCAGAGCTGATATTGAGCTCCACCCGCATACGCCACTCAGCTAGCTTGGAGCTGTTGAGGAAGACATTATAGTTGGCTGCCATGGGCTGTGGATAGACGAAGACAAAGACGTGGTCAGTCTGGGGACCAGCCTCACCCGTGTCCTCTCCCACAGCCTCAGGCCCATGCGCCCAACATGTACCTATGCAAAGAATTAGGCTGCTGACCCCCAAGGCCTGAGCAAGGGGTCACAGACTATGTAATAGATGTAGGTGGGGATGGAGGATCCAGAATCCCTCAGAGTCCTTAGTCACCGGTCTTCTTGCTCCAAGCCTTCTGAACCATGCTGAGAGGGCTCCTGGCCCAGGCACCTCCCACTTCTCCAGCCTGCGATCTCGCATGAATCCTGCCTTCTTCCAGGGAAACCCCTTATCCCAGGTGTGTATATGTGGATGAGGGAGAGAACTCAGGTTTTTTCCTCCATGTTTAGCCTCCCACTGTGATCAAGCTCAGGGGCTAAGATGGGAGACCTGGCGGGCAGTCTACCCTGCAGTTTGGCTGGCTCACTAAGAGTGTACCCTGTAGTTTGGTTTGCACCCAAGATCTTTGGGAAGGCCAAGAATGGGTGTGTGTGGGTGAAATGTAAGGGGTGGGGACGAAGCATATGGCTGAACCCTTGGGGCAGGCCAGAATGATTTTTCCTGGTGCTGGTCTGCCCTGCAAACAGACCAAGGAGACTAATTTTCATATCAGCCAGAGATCTCTGGGATAAGGAAAAGAATACTGCATTTTCTGGTCAATCCACCAGGACCCCAGGTCCCTCCTCTCGGGCATATCTCTGGCTGATATGCAAATTAGTCTCTTTGGTCAGTGTGCAGTGCCCTAGCTGGTGTGCAGGATGGCCAGTTGAGACCCTGGCCAGTGTCTTGACAAGCAGAACTGGTCACCCTCCCCTGCATGTAGAGGCCACATAAATGCCCCACACTCAGGTGTGCCTCCAAATGCACAGTGGATGCCCCTCAGACCCAGCCACGAGAGCTGTCCTCCAGAGCTGTCTGTCTGGAGCTCTGGGAAACAGGCAGGGCCAGAAGGACACCCAGGAAGCCAGTGAACATTTCCTGGAGAGTCCAGCAAGAGGAGGAGGTATCTGGGATGCTGGTGGATTGAGCAGGAAATGCAGTGTTCTTCTCTATCCCAGGCTCACCCTCCAGGTCCTCCCACACCGAAGAATCTTTGTCAAGTGTGGAGAACTGTGATCCTTCCTGATTCATAACATTCTGTGCTTCCTGTTGCCCCCAGATTGAGTCCAGGGCCCCAGACCTCGCTCCCGCAGCCCCCATGACAGCTCTGCTTGCCTTTCCCACCTCACCAGCCTATCCTCAAGTGATGGCCCCATTGGTCACAGAGGAGTCCTACCTCTGCCCAGGGTCTACCCCTCCTCCAACCCACTCCACACCTGCATCATCTCCACCACGGCCACCAAGTCAGCCAGTGAGATTTGGTTCCCGGTGATGAACATCTTATCCTGCAGAAACTTCTCCTCGAAGAGCTGCAGGCTGTTCTTCACCTCTTCCACTGCATGCTCCATCTTCTCAGCTGAAACTTCCTCCCCTGTTATCTTTGGGATCAGCAACTGGCCAGGGTTGGGAAGAGGAGGGAAGAGGAGGCTGCACTCCAGGGCCACCTGCCCTGCCAGGTCTCTGTACTCTTGTCTGCTGGATAGATATTGAACACTTCCCAGGATATAAAGCAGTTTCACCTCTTTTAGCAGTTCTGATTGGTGGAAGTTGCCGGGAACCATGTGTTCACAAGGATTTGGGGAGCTCAGCAGGCATAAGTCCTGTGATTGATTAGTGATGTCTGTCACAGGCATAGAATTCAAAGTAGAGACACATGTACTGGTTATTTGTCATCTTCCAATTTTCTATAGGCCTTTACTCTTTTTTGTTTTTGTTTTTTGAGATGGAGTCTCACTCTGTCGCCCAGGCTGGAGTGCAGTGGCACAATCTTGGCTCACTGCCAACTCCACCTCCTGGGTTCAAGCAATTGTCCTGCCTCAGCGTCCTGAGTAGCTGGGATTACAGGTGCCCATCACCACACCCAGCTAATAGTTTTGTATTTTTAGTAGAGATGGTGTTTCACAATGTTGGCAAGGTAGGTCTTGAACTCCTGACCTCAAGTGATCCGCCCGCCTCGGCCTCCCAAAGTACTGGGATTACAGTTGTGAGCCACCGTACCCGGCCTTCTGTGGGCCTTTTGACGCTGAGATTCTCTAGTTCAGAATGAAATGCCTCGAATGCTGTCCTGGGTGAGTCACATCAGCCCCTCCCGTATGCCCTTCCCCTCGCCCTAATAAGACTCTTTCATGCCCATTGTTTCAGTCCACACTCCTGACGGCTCTGTAAGGCGGGCAGGAGAAGGAGCTGAGGAAATGAGGCCCAGAGAGGGAGGGAGACTTGCTTGAGGTCGCCGGCAGTCAGCAGGGCCAGAACTGGCCTCCAGCCTTCCTGACTTCCCTGTGCCCGTGTCCCCAAGCCCCAGAAGTGGCCCTGCTCACCTTGAGCCAGACTATCTTCTTCATGGGCAGCTGAAAGGCCGTGTGTTGCCAAGCCACGAACTCATCCACACGGGCACGTGCGTGCGGGTCTGGCGGGCACCAGTGCGATGGTGCGCTGTACTTGCGGCACAGGTAGTAAAGGATGGCCGCGCTGCAGAAGGGGCCGGTCAGGGGCACTGCCCTTGCCTTCCTGAGTGCCACTACGTCAACCACCCCGGCATTCCTTGACTTGTAGACTTGTTTTAAAATGTACCCGGGATTTTGGCTTTATTCAGGTATGGCGAGGCCACAGATCAGAGGTGATAGCCATTTAAAAGACAGTTTGTTACTCACAGTTCCCAAGATGATAGGGGGGACACGCCACACCATGCAGGGCCATGGGGAAGCACCAGGGCCAGTCAGGTGGCAGAATGAGTGAGGGCGAAAGGTGGACAAAGGGTTTTCTGTGTTTTTTGCAAGAAGGCAAGACAGGGTAAACAGACTTAGGCCTGGCTAGTTTCAATAACTGTGATGGGCTCTAGGTTATAGGAGTGGTCCTTTGTTACCTGGTACCTGTCCCTGGAGTGATTTGGGGCAGGAACCTGCTGGAAGGTGGCTGGTAAAGTTATCTTGGAGATACGAATCGGTTGATTGGCCCATCGAAGGCACACCATAAGCAAATCATTTATTCTCTGTAGGAATTAGCTGGCCCAGGGAGGGGCAGTCTCTCTTGGATCACTAAGGCCTCAAGATGTCAAAGCAATCTGGGCATGGTGGCTGAGGCCTCTAATCCCAGCACTTTGGAAGGCTGAGGAGGGAGGATCACTTGAGCCCAGAAGTTCGAGGCCAGCCTGGACAACATAGTGAGACTGTCTCTACAAAAAGTTTAAAAATTAGCAGGGTGTACTAGTAGTTCCAGCTACTCTGGGGGCTGAGGTGGGAGGATCACTTGAGCCCAGGAGGCCAGGGATGCAGCGAGCCATGATCGCACCACTGCACTCCAGCCTGCACTCAACAAAGTGAGATTCTGTCTCAAAACAACAACAGCAACCACAACAAAAGAAGTTAATAGCTTAGCTTCTGCTGTATTCCAAAATTGTTGCACCCTGGACACACTGACAGCCTCAAAAGGAGGAGTTTGTGTGATCATTGGTGGATAAGGCTGGTCTGTGTAAATCCACTGGGACAAATAGTGCCTAAGCTGCACCTGTTAAAGAACAAGCTAAACACTCTCCATCAAACAAAAGAGGTGCATTCCTTCTGCTGTACTGACCTTGTCCCAGCAATGGGATGTGTGTTTAACAGGATAAGGGGAAATGTGCTCAGACCTGTTCCTTTCAGCTTATTCATTCCTATTCTTATCTATGTTCTTCTCCCCATTTGTAGATCCCTCGTTATGAATCTGGCTCTTATCTCCATAGCCACCAACTCAGCTTTTAATATCTGAAACTTCTAGGAAAGTCTGCAGCAGGGGAAATGAAGGAATTAAAGACACGTCACCCCAAATATGCTGCTTTGGAGTATTAATTATTTTGAGTTGAAGGCACTTGAGAAATAGCACATGCAGGAAAGACTCTCTGACCTGCCCTTTTCTATCTAAGAATAGGCCACACAATTTCCCATAAGAAAGCACCCTCCCTTTACCAGGAAGAGAAGAACATTGTCATCACAGGTGACTGTGAATCAAGGTTCCAATGGATCTGTATAAACACACGACTAAAAATAATCCTTATCTTCCAATTTTGCTCCGCATGTATGTCCTAGTCCCTTCTCCACAATTTACTGCCTATAATCCAAACCGCTTTGTCTTGTCTTTTTTTTTTTTTTTTTTTTTTGAGGCAGAGTCTTGCTCTGTCACCCAGGCTGGAGTGTAGTGGCACGATCTCTGCTCACTGCAGGCTCCACCTCCCGGGTTCATGCCATTCTTCTGCCTCAGCCTCCCGAGTAGCTGGGACTACAGGTGCCCGCCACTGCGCCCAGCTAATTTTTTTGTGTTTTTAGTAGAGACGGGGTTTCACCGAGTTAGCCAGGGTGGTCTCGATCTCCTGACCTCGTGATCTGCCCGCCTTGGCCTCCCAAAGTGCTGGGATTACAGGCGTGAGCCACCGTGCCCGACCTTGTCTTAAAAAAAATTGTTTTTCTATTTAAAGGATAGAAACTTTTTCTACTTTAGTGACTTCTTTAGGCCTTCATTCTCTTGTGAAAGTACCCATGTACACTGAAAATTTAGCAAAACTTGAATGATTTTCTTCTGTTAATCTGTCTTTTTTTTTTTATTATTATTGATCATTCTTGGGTGTTTCTCACAGAGGGGGATTTGGCAGGGTCATAGGACAATAGTGGAGGGAAGGTCAGCAGATAAACAAGTGAACAAAGGTCTCTGGTTTTCCTAGGCAGAGGACCCTGCGGCCTTCCGCAGCGTTTGTGTCCCTGGGTACTTGAGATTAGGGAGTGGTGATGACTCTTAAGGAGCATGCTGCCTTCAAGCGTCTGTTTAACAAAGCACATCTTGCACCGCCCTTAATCCATTTAACCCTGAGTGGACACAGCACATGTTTCAGAGAGCACAGGGTTGGGGGTAAGGTCACAGATCAACAGGATCCCAAGGCAGAAGAACCTTTCTTAGTACAGAACAAAATGAAAAGTCTCCCATGTCTACCTCTCTCTACACAGACACGGCAACCATCCGACTTCTCAATCTTTTCCCCACCTTTCCCCCCTTTCTATTCCACAAAGCCGCCATTGTCATCCTGGCCCGCTCTCAATGAGCTGTTGGGCACACCTCCCAGAGGGGGTGGTGGCCGGGCAGAGGGGCTCCTCACTTCCCAGTAGGGGCGGCCGGGCAGAGGTGCCCCTCACCTCCCGGACGGGGCGGCTGGCCGGGCGGGGGGCTGACCCCCCCACCTCCCTCCCGGACGGGGCGGCTGCCGGGCAGAGGGGCTCCTCACTTCACAGACGGGGCGGTTGCCAGGCAGAGGGTCTCCTCACTTCTCAGATGGGGCGGCCGGGCAGAGACTCTCCTCACCTCCCAGACGGGGTGGCGGCCGGGCAGAGGCGCTCCTCACATCCCAGACGGGGCGGCGGGGCAGAGCCACTCCCCACATCCCAGACGATGGGCAGCCGGGCAGAGACGCTCCTCACTTCCTAGATGTGATGGCGGCCGGGAAGAGGCGCTCCTCACTTCCCAGATGGGATGGCGGCAGGGCAGAGACGCTCCTCACTTTCCAGACTGGGCAGCCAGGCAGAGGGGCTCCTCACATCCCAGACGATGGGCGGCCAGGCAGAGACGCTCCTCACTTCCCAGACGGGGTGGCGGCCGGGCAGAGGCTGCAATCTCGGCACTTTGGGAGGCCAAGGCAGGCGGCTGGGAGGTGGAGGTTGTAGCAAGCCGAGATCACGCCATTGCACTCCAGCCTGGGCACCATTGAGCACTGAGTGAACGAGACTCCGTCTGCAATCCCGGCACCTCAGGAGGCCGAGGCTGGCGGATCACTCGTGGTTAGGAGCTGGAGACCAGCCCGGCCAACACAGCGAAACCCCGTCTCCACCAAAAAAATACGAAAACCAGTCAGGCGTGGCGGTGCGTGCCTGCAATTGCAGGCACTCGGCAGGCTGAGGCAGGAGAATCAGGCAGGGAGGTTGCAGTGAGCCGAGATGGCAGCAGTATAGTCCAGCTTCGGCTCGGCATGAGAGGGAGACGGTGGAAAGAGAGGGAGAGGGAGACCATGGGGAGAGGGAGACCATGGGGAGAGGGAGAGGGAGAGGGAGAGGGAGAGAGCTAATCTGTCTTAGTTTTATTCTTAGGCCCAGATCTCCAGAGACCCTAGGAATGTAGAGGAGAATTTTTTTCCTCCCCAATAATAGCATGGCATACAGCATAGATCCCCGCTTGTTTAGGTCAACTTTAATCGCTTTCAAAAACTTTCTATGACATTCTTCATAAAGATCATGCAGGCCAGGCGAGGTAGCTGATGCCTGTAGTCCCAGCTACTTGGGAGGCTGAGGTGGGAGGATCACTTGAGCCCAGGAGGTCAAGGCTGCAGTGAGCCACAATCGTGCCACTGTACTTCAGCCTGGATGACAGAGCAAGATCCTGTCTGTAAGTTTTTTCTTTTTTAAGTAATGCATGTTTCAGCTCAGACTTATTCCATGGTGAGATATATATATTATATGTGTGTATGTATATATGTACATATGTATGATTGCAAATGATATCTGTTGCATTTTACATATTGAAGGAAGTATCTTCTTGAAAATATTATAAATTTGTGTCAATGTTGCTACTGCTCAAAACCCATTTCAGAATTGGTAATCTACTTACATTCAAAATGAGTGGGGTGGCCGGGCGGGGTGGCTTATGCCTGTATTCCCAACACTTTAGGAGGCTGAGGTGGGCAGGTCACTTGAGCCAGGAGTCTGAGACCAGCCTGGCCAACATGGCAAAACCCCGTCTCTACTAAAAATACAAAAATTAGCAGGGCATGGTGGCGCATGCCTGTAATCCCAACTACTCGGGAGGCTGAGGTACGAACTTGGGAGGCAGAGGTAACAGTGAGCCAAGATCACACCACTACACTCCAGCCTGGGCAACAGAGCAAGACTCTGTCTCAAAACAAACTAACAAAAAAACCCAAACAAAACAAAAAAATACAACATAAAGGAGTCACCCAGAAGGAGGGTGATGCGAAGACACATAGGGGAATGCCAGAACAGAGGCAAAGATTGGAGTGATGGGTGTTAGATTAATCATGGTCTTTATGTCCTGTACTTTATCACGCTTTGACATTTTTTAAGTTTATTTTACATTTTTGTAGAGACAGGGTCTCACTCTGCCAGGCTGGAGTGCAGTGGTGCAATTATATTAGGTTGGTCTAAAAGTAATCATGGTTTTTGCCATTACTTTTATTTTATTTATTTATTTATTTATTTATTTGAGACAGGGTCTCACTCTGTCACCCAGGCTGGAGTGCAGTGGCGCAATCTCACCTCACTGCAACCTCCACCTCCTGGCTTCAAGCGATTCTCCTGCTTTAACCTCCCAAGTAGCTGGGAGTACAGGTGCAGGCCACCATGCCCAGCTAATTTTTGTATTTTTAGTAAAGACAGGATTTCACCATGTTGGCCAGGCTGGTCTTGAACTCCTGGCCTCAAGTGATCCACTTGCCTTGGCCTCCCAAAGTGCTGAGATTACAGGCGTGAGCCACAACGCCTGATTTGCCATTACTTTTAATTAAACTTTTTATTATGGTTGATTGATTTCCTAGGTTCATTCATACATTTTGTTTTGTTTTTTGAGACAGGGTCTCGCTCTGTCACCAAGGCTGGAGTCAGTGGTGCAGTTATAGCTCACTGCAGCCTTGACCTTCTGGGCTCTAGTGATCCTCCTGCCTCAGCCTCCTGAGCAGCTGGAACTACAGGCATGTACCACCACACCCATCTAATTTTTAATTTTTTGTTGTTGTTGTTGTAGAGCTGGTGTCTTGCCATGTTGCCCAGTGCTGGCCTTAAGTGAGTCTCCCATCTCAGTCTCCCAAGGTGCTAGGATTTCAGGTGTGGATCACCGCGCCCGGACTGCTTTGACATCCTGAGGACTTGCTGATCCAAGAGAGACTGCCCCTACCTGGGCCATAAATTCCTAAACTATTAACTTCTAATTGGAGTGCTACCAATTTTTTTTTCGTTTGTTTTTTGAGATGGAGTTTCACTCTGTCACCCAGTCTGGAGTGCAGTGGCGTGATCTCAGCTCAATGCAAGCTCCACCTCCCGGATTCAGGCCATTCTCTGACCTCAGCCTCCCGAGTAGCTGGGACTACAGGTGCCTGCAACCACGCCTGGCTAATTTTTTGTATTTTTAGGAGAGACGGGGTTTCACCATGTTAGCCAGGATGGTCTCGATCTCCTGACCTCATGATCCACCTGCCTCGGCCTCCCAAAGTGCTGGGATTACAGGAGTGAGCCACCGCGCCCGGCCGAGTGCTACCAATTTTTGCAGAGTAATATTGAACTCTTGTTCTATTATTATGGAAAGATTTAGAACTGCCCTTTCTGTCACATAATTTCCAACGCCTGGAAAAAAGGATCTCAATACTGAAAATAACTTAGAATTGTAACATACAAGTGGGTTTTCCCTGATGTCATATCTAGTATGTTCATGTGGTATTACTTTGTGTATAAAAGAGCCCAAGTTTGTAATTTGGCTGACATTTAAAGTGACACCTGGTGATAGAAGGTGTTGGGTATCCAATTCTACATTGACCTGACCATTTAGGTGAGAACCTTTATATAATCTGTTGCCACATAAGATAAAAAGACCAATGTTGTTCACAGATAAGTTCAGAGTGGAACTCATGACCCACCAGGTTGGGGGCTGGTGTCTTGTCACCTATCATGTAGGCATCTGCACACATCCATCTTCCATGTGTCTTTGTCAGTCTGTAGGAGAATGGGTTGCAAAATATCTAATATAGGAGGCCTGCAGTTTGGCCTTGACATGTCTGTGGCTTGGTTTTGTTATGTGACCAAGTTTGTCCAGATTTTTGGTCTACCCGTATTTAATGTCTAGTGTTTGGCAGCCTAATGAAGAGAGCAGATGAGCTACCCCATATTATACAAGGGTGGCTTGTGAGCTTACTGTAACATCCAGTGATATGACAAGTGTTTGTACCATAAGAGTCAGTGCCAGAACCTTCTATAACCTTCATGGGAGGCTTGAGGATGCCACCTGTGGAACCAAATCACAGGATTCAACTGTAATATCATCTTGCTATGTCACCTATAAATCATTCAGCACTATACTTGTTTTTAAAACAAAGGGAACATTTTCTTTTTTTTTAAGATAGGGTCTTGCTCTGTTGCCCAGGCTGAAGTGCAGTGGTGTGATCACAGCTCACTGCATTCTCCACCTCCCGGGCTCAAGCGATTCTTCCACCTCAGCCTCCTGAGTAGCTGGGACCACAGGTGCCCACCACCACACTCTACTAATTTTTTGTGTGTTTTGTGTAGAGATAGGGTTTCACCATGTTGGTCAAGCTGGTCTCAACTCCTGAGCTTAAGCAATCTGCCCACCTCTGCCTGCCAAAGTGTTGAGATTACAGGCTTGAGCCACCATACCCAGCAAATTTCCTTCATTTAATGACTACCTGAGCACAGGACAGACCTTGAGCTTCCATAGAGGTTTGTCCATGTCCAATTAATCCATCAAAAGAAGAAGTAAAGTGATGTTGTTTTCTCAGTTGTGGATGCCACACCCTGTCACATACCCAGTTTTCATAGTTGGCCCACCGAGTCCTGGCATTGGCAGGAATGAAAATCGGTTCAAGTTCTTCTGCATGATCTAGATGTTGACATAACCAGTAATCAGATTAATTAAAGTGGACAAGATTTGGAGAGTTGGTGTAACGGGGTGTCAGCTCTGTTTTTGACCTGTTGAGAAAACAGTAAGGGTTACTAAGAATGAGACACCACCTCAAAGAGAACCCATAGTGTAGGATCAGAGGGAGAATCAGAGGACAGGATTGAGACAAGCAATTTCCAGTCAGCTTTTTAATAAATGGCCAGAGAAAAAGGAGGCTTCATTAAAAGGAAGAGGTTCTTTTGGTTTTTGCTTTTTGGACAAGGAGGCCCAATGTGAGAAAACAGGTGGAAGTGAAGTTTCTTGATCCATGATCTTGAGGAAAGCTGTCTACTTTAAAATGTCATCTGCTTCTGAGGCCTGGGAACCAGTCTGGGAAATCGTTACTTTAAGGTCACCTGTAGGGAGGGTCTTCCAGTTGTCCTCAGAGTGCTGATCTGGGTCTATCTTGGTGTAATTCACATGAATCCAGGAGGACTTTTCCCCAACTTGATGGCAGTGTAGGTGGTTAGCAGTGCAGTCAGGCATTGCTTAATGACAGGGATGCATTCTGAGAAATGCATCTTTAGGTACTTTTGTCGTTGTGTAGACATCACAGAGTGTACTTACACAGACCTAGATGATATAGCCTACTACACACCTAGGCTATATTGTGTAGCCCACCTGCTCCTAGGCTACAAACCCATACAGCATGTTAGTATACTGAATAATGTACATGGTGTAACACAATGATAAGTATTTTCTTTTACTTATATCTTGCATTGTAGGATTTATCACAAAATGTTACTGCCCAGTGCATTTTTGCAAACAATAACAATTCACTGAGGGTATTAACATTCACATATGTAATTAGAGTTTACAAATGCACCAAACTTTGGGTAACAAACACTTTAAACTTGTTTTTTTAGACATTCAGTAAGCCCTTTCTCCCCCCTCCCCAAACCGTTTGATTACAAAGAAGCACAATGGGTTAACTGTGGCAAAACATAAGAAATAAGGCAGGGGAGGCAGGTGCAGCCTTGACAACATAAGAATATCCAAACAATGTTGTCAATATCAAAAGAAAAAATCAAAACATCTTTTATAATATAAAATAAATCCATATAATTAAGTACTAATTAGGTGAAATAACATTATAGGGTATATAACGTTTATTTTCTCTATTTAAATTTGCATATCTTAAATTTATTTGTTTTTATTTTATTTTTTCCTGAGATGGAGTCTCACTCTGTCACCCAGGCTAGAGTGTAGTGGCACAATCTCAGCTCACTGCAACCTCTGCCTCCTGGGTTCAAGAAATTCTCCTGCCTCAGCCTCCTGAATAGCTGGGATTACAGGCGTGCACTACCATGCCCAGCTAATTTTTACATTTTTAGTAGAGATGGGGTTTCATCATGTTGGCCAGGCTGGTCTCCAACTCCTGACCTCATGATCCATCTGCCTTGGCCTCCCAAAGTGCTGGGATTACAGGCATGAGCCACCTCGCCAAGCTGCATATCTTAAATTTAATGTGAAACATCATGTTTCAACTTCGACTTAAGAATATCATGACATACAGTTTTTGGTGAGTCTAGATGTAATGGAATGAATATTTAAATAGACTTCAAAGATTTTATCAAGGTTGTATTTGGTTATCATTGCTTTAAGTCTTTAATGCTTTTCTTTCTTTATTGGACTAAGCCAATTTTAGAAACAAAATCCACAACCAACACACATACAATGCCGATGTTTCTGAAAAAACTAAATAGTATTATGTTTAGTATATCATTAAAATAGTGATTGTGGTTAAACAAACAAGCAAACAAACAAATTACTGCAACTCATAGATGATAAACTTATAGAAAGCAACATTTTAGAAGTTCCATCTGGTGTGTTTGCACTGTAAGAAAATAAATCTGGATATGAGTATGTAGGGTCCAGCCCTACAGGGTCAGTGAGTTTTCTCCTCATGTGTGGAGATGAGAGAGTGTAGAAATAAAGACACAAGACAAAGAGATAAGAGAAAAGACAGCTGGGCCCAGGGGACCACTACCACCAAGATGCAGAAACCGGTAGTGGCCCCAAATGCCAGGCTGTGTTGATATTTATTGGATACAAGACAAAGGGGTAGGGTAAGGAGTGTGAGCCATCTCCAATAATAGGTAAGGTCACGTGGGTCATGTGTCCACTGGACAGGGGGTCCTTCCCTCCCTGGCAGCCGAGGCAGAGAGAGAGAGAGGAGAAAGAGAGAGAGAGCTTACACCATTATTTCTGCTATCAGAGACTTTTAGTACTTTCACTAATTTGCTACTGCTATCCAAAAGGCAGAGCCAGGTGTACAGGATGGAACATGAAGGTGGACTAGGAGCATGACCACTGAAGCACAGCATCACAGGGAGACAGTTAGGCCTCCGGATAACTGCAGGCGGGCCTGACTGATGTCAGGCCCTCCACAAGAGGTGGAGGAGTAGAGTCTTCTCTAAAATCCCCTGGGGAAAGGGAGACTCCCTTTCCCGGTCTGCTAAGTAGCAGGTGTTTTTCCTTGACACTGACGCTACCGCTAGACCAGGGTCTGCTTGGCAACGGGCATCTTCCCAGATGCTGGCGCTACTGCTGGACAAAGGAGCCCTCTGGTGGCCCTGTCCGGGCATAACAGAAAGCTCGCACTCGTCTTCTGGTCACTTCTCACTATGTTCCCTCAGCTCCTATCTCTGTATGGCCTGGTTTTTCCTAGGTTATGATTGTAGAGCAAGAATTATTATAATATTGGAATAAAGAATAATTGCTGCAAACTAATGATTAATGATATATATATAATCATATCTAAGATCTATATCTAGTATAACTATTCTTATTTTATATATTTTATTATACTGGAACAGCTCGTGCCCTCGGTTTCTTGCCTCGGCACCTGGGTGGCTTGCCACCCGCATGAGTAAGATGTGCTTGACTGAATAAATGAGATCCCCAGCTAGCACTGGGCTATGTTCCAGAGCAGTGCATCTGTCCTAATATGTTACATCAGGAATGTTTGTTCACAATCCACCAGCTGCAGGTTTTCATTTACTAAGAATTGAAAGCAATTAATCCTGGTCCATCCACTCCTTCCTCCGTTGTTTTACTATCTTTGCTTTGAGATCAGGTACTTTGTGCCCAGGATTGTGGCAATGCATGTTTACTAAAAATGCATCCATTGATGGTAGAATAATTGTACTAAATTAATAAAGGAAGAGAGTGTCTTCATGTAGAAAACAGAGCACTAAATTATAATTTTACAGTCACAGCACAAGCTCCAGCTCTTCCTAGGCACAGTGGAGCAACCCGGGTCCACTCTTTGTCTGGGATCATGAGCCTCCACTGTATTCAGGTATGCCTGTCCATCATACCTCCCAACAGCATAAAACTTATCAACAAGTAAACAGACCTCCACTGCATCTCTGCTGATGCTCATTGATTCTACTGTAGTCCACATGTCTGTTTTGGGATCAGATGTCTCCACACAATCTGAGAGTCTGGAAGTCAAGTTGGATGTGAGAGCATCATGTTCCCCTATAGCATACAGCAGTCCGCTCCGGGTCGTTACTCCTATGCCACCTCTCCTTTTTGACATCCGTGCACACAGTGTCCATGTTGGGGTGATCAGGCCTAACACCAGGCCGTGGGGGCTACAAAGTCTGGCGGGGTCAGAGGAATGTGAAAAGATAAGTTAAAAGTGCATAAAGTGGGTCCGGGGGGCCGGCACTAGATTGAAGGCTGCAAAGGCCCCGAGCTCTGGGAGCCCACACTATTTATTGGTGATCAAACAAAGAAGCAGGTGGTGAGGATGTGAGGGTAAACAGGTGAGGGCATGAGAACGTGGGGATAGAAAGCTAGTGGTGCATTAAGCGTAGCTGTGACAGCTTAGCACTTCCTTTGATGCATGTAGAATATGCTCTGCTACTTGAGATAATGGAGGACATGTTTACGAGTAAGAAGCAAGGAACCAACAAGTCTGTGCACATTCCAGAGGCTATGAGGAGTTTTATGCCCTGAGCCCTGGGTTCCATCCAAGCCACACGGGGTTTTATGCCCTGGGCTTAGATTTGTGTTGCGGCAGGGCAGCCTTCCACCCTATGGCACAGAGCTTGGTGTACCAAAGGCCATGAGGGGTTTTAGGCCGTGGACCCCGGACATCTTTCAAGACTCTTTTACATTATGACAGACAAGCCAGTCCTGCCTCAGCTCTTCTACCAACAGTCCACTCACTAGTATGAGGATCAAAACATTCTACTGATTTGAGACAAGAACTTGCATCACCACCACCAACTGCATTAAGTTTTCCACTTAGCACTGCCACACCAACTGTGCTCCTAGGAGTAGACACAGTGGCAACAAAATTCCACTGGCGAGCCTGAGGGTCCCAAATTTCCGCTGTGTTCAGATGGCCCCAGCCCTCATGCCCTCCTACGGCATACATGGGACCTTCCAGTACAGCCACACCAAGGCCATGTCTATGTGTGGACATAGGTGGCACCACACTCCCTGTTTTTGTTTTGGGGTTGTAGCACTCTACAGTATTCAAAGTCTTCAGTCCATCTCTTCCTCCAACCACATACGGTTTGTCATCTAGCACTGCGACACCAAACTGTAGCCTCCTCTCATTCATATTTGCTACTGGAGTTCATGTATTTGTACAGAGGTCATACTTTTCAATGCTTGTTGCTCCTTTTGTTGAATCCATTCTCCCAACTGCAAATAATGTACCAACAGTTGATTTCCTAGATTTTGCCTGAGGACTTTGTAACGTGGGTCATCTCTCTGGTAATACATGGTACTTCATTGCTTCCATAATGAGTTTCTGACATTCTATATTATCCCAAAAAAGTACATTATTTTCCATGTCTGCCAGGAACTGTGGTGAAAGAAGAGGTAGCCTAATATTAGCCAAAAGTTTACTTAGATCTTTCCATCTCTGTTCCAAATCATGACAGACCCAAGTAAGAAGTGGAGTCAATATTGTCTCATCAGGAATGTTCATGTCATCACTAGTCAAGAACTTTGCAATTTTGCTGGCTGGTAATAATACAAATTCCTGGTTTCTGATTACTTTCATGAAATGCTCAATAGTATAATTGTGAGCCACTTTATGCAAATCTGTACAACCTTAGGCATCAGCAAAAGAACAAATTCCAAGACAGCTGGATGGGTGAAGCTGTTTCATTAAAAACTTATGACATGTGGCCTGGTGCCCTGGCTCACGTCTGTAATCCCAGCACTTTGGGAGGCCAGGGCAGGCGGATCACCTGAGGTCAGGAGTTCAAGACCAGCCTGGCTAACATGGTGAAACCCCGTCTCTACTAAAAATACAAAAAAGTACCTGGTCGTGGTGGCAGGCGCCTATAATCCCAGCTACTCGTGAGGCTGAAGTAGGAGAATTGCTTGAACCTGGGAGGCGGAGGTTGCAGTGAGCTGAGATCTACACTGGGCGGCAGAGCGAAACTCTGTCTCAAAACAAACAAACAAACAAAAATTTACAACATGCTTCTACAGCCTGTGAAAGCTGAAGAAGGCAAGCTGTAGATAGCAGGCACTCAGTATTATCTTCTTTTAATTCAAGGCGGGTTGTATAAGCATATTGGATCAAGGACCACGATGAATTTGGTTCTACACCTTCCATTTTTATGTCTTCTTGTCTTGCTTCTCTGACATCATTAGTAAACATGGCAGCAAAATAGTCTGAGCCAGAGGAGAGCACCAATCTGTGAGCTGGAATTCTGCCATCACCAGCAACTAAAATTACATCGCACAACTGTTTATGTCTCAAACAGTTTTCCATTTTTTTAAATGTTTGTTCGGCATAATTCAGGGCTTGGAAAAATTCATGATGAACATGGCTCCATAATATGACAGGATGATAACGTCTGACTACTACTGGAAGTCCGCGTCGGGCTCCGGAGGGAGTCACAGCAGGCCAGGGTGGAGGAGTGGGGGAGGCGAGGGCAGAGAGGGATGCTCGTGTGCCCCCAACCCCTTCCTGGCAGCCTCATCTACGGCGTTGGTGGCCCCAAGCTAGACAATCTTGCTCCATCAGGTGGCACCAGGCGGTGGGGGGTGGGTGGTCAGAGTCCTCAGGTAGCCCCAGAGGGGTGGGTGAGTGGATGGGGGTCCAGACTGGCTCGCCTATCAGTCCCCGCACTGCGCAATCGGCTGCCCACCCAGCCCACACAATGATAAGTATTTTTGTATGTAAACATATCTAAACATAGAAAAGCTACAGTAAAAATATGGTATTATAATCTTTTTTTTCTTTCTTTCTTTTTTTTTTTTTTTTTTTTGAGACAGGATCTCACTCTGTTGCCCTGGCTGGAGTGCAGTAGCATGATCATGGCTCACCGCAGTCTCGACTTTCCTGGGCTCAGGTGAGTCTCCCACCTCAGCCTTCTAAGTAGCTGGGACTACAGGTGCGCATCACCATGACTGGTTTATTTTGTATTTTTTGTAGAGACAGGATTTCACCATGTTGCCCAGACTGGTCTCAAACTCCTGGGCTCAATGATCTACCCGCCTCTGCCTACCAAAGTGCTAGGATGACAGGTGCGGTGGCTCACCGGCATTATAATCTGATGGGGACACCATTGTATATTCGGTCCATCGTTGACCAAAACATTGGTGACAGTGCATGCTTTCTTCTAAAAGCCTTGATTTACACCTAATCTCCTGGTCAAAAAGGATGGCAAGGCTTGTTAGTTGGCAGAAGCTATGCCCTTTTTACCTGTTGATGATTTATATGCTCCAAGATTACTAGTTAGTTCCTTTATGTAGCTGTCATAGCATCACATTGTTCACTTAAGAAGTCCCCATAATCCAGGGATCACTCAATGCAGGAATGAAAGGTTTAGAGATGCCAATAGGCAAAGGGAAACCAAGCACTATTTCAAAAGAAGTTAATCCACGCCTCCCATTTGGAGCATTCTAAACTTCATAAGGGGTAAAAGGCAACAAGAGGTAATGTTTTTCCTCCCTTCAATTCAGTTTCCTGACAGATTTTTCCTAACGTCTTTTTTTCTTTTTCTTTTTTTTGAGATAGAGTCTCACACTGTCGCCCAGGCTGGAGTGCAGTGGCACAATCCTGGCTCACTGCAACCTCTGCCTCCCAGGTTCAAGTGATTCTCCTGCCTCAGCCTCCCAAGTAGCTGGGATTACAGGGGTGTGCCACCACCCCCAACTAATTTTTGTATTTTTAGTAGAGACAGGGTTTCACCATGTTGGCCAGGCTGGTCTTGAATTCCTGACCTCAAGTGATCTGCCCACCTGGGCCTCCCACAGTGCTGGGATTACAGGTGTGAGCCCCGCACCCAGCCTGTTGAATATAAAAATGCTCCAGGAATAAATGCTTGGTGCCACAAAGTGAAACCAGCACTCAGGCAAAAGTTTTCACAGCAAGGCAATTTACTTCTGCAGAAGGGTGCCACTCCCGTCAATCAAGATCGCAAGAGCACACCAAACAAAGGGGAGCAGGGGGTTTTTATCTCTGATGCATAGTCCTTACCTCTGTGTCACTCCCCCATGGGCTGGGGTTGGACTGCACAATCTGAGCTGATCCAATTAGCTACTTGCAAATATTGTTCTAAATATGGAAGGGAAAGTGTACGTGAGGTACAGTGGTGAAGCATGTAAGACATGCAGTTTTGGGGGAACAACGCGTACAGATAACCAAGGGAAAGGATGTGAGTTATTGATTAGAGCTGGTGGGAAGGGGGTAAGCTGTTTTACAGTAACTAGGGGCAAGGAGGAACAGGAAAGTTAAGTTTGAGAACAAAGGACAAGGAAGTTAGCAGGCTAAATCTTTGAAGAGAAACTCAGAGAAATTCATTGTATCTTACACAGCCTAATGTCCTTTTTATGTCTAAATTTTTACATTTCACTTGAGCTGAGGATTGGGGGTGGTATGGGGTGTGAAATTTTAACGAGTACCCCAAAGGAGTTTTTTTTTTTTGCAATCGAATTGTTTATTTCTGCTGTAAAATGAGTTCCTTGGTCTGACTTAATCTGTAACAGAAAGCCAAAATGAGAAATAATCTCAGTTATTAATTTCTTTTTTTTTTTCCAACATGGTCTCTCACTGTTGCCCAGGCTGGAGTGCAGTGGTGCGATCTCGGCTCTTTGCAACCTCCACCTCCCACGTTCAAGCAATTCTCCTTGCCTCAGCCTCAAGTAGCTGGGATTACAGGAGCCCACCACCACGCCCAGCTAATTTTTTTGTATTTTTAGTAGAGACACAGTTTCACTATGTTGGCCAGGCTAGTTTCAAAATCCTGACCTCATGATCTGCCCACCTCTGCCTTCCAAAGTGCTGGGATTACAGGTGTGAGCCTCCCTGGCCAGCCGAGTTATTAATTTCTTCACCAGTGTTGTGGTATCAGCACATCCAGTCCGGTGGCATTCAATCCATCCACTAAACATTCAGACAGTAACCAAACAGTGGGAATGCCCTAAAGCCAGAAGTAAATCAACAAAATCCATCTGGAGTCCTGCAAGGGGCAGTGTGGGCCTTGGAGGACTCCCCGAGGAATGTTGGTTTCCTCCAGAGATTCCATGAGATTTATAAGTTGTGCACTGGGAAACAGTGTGGCCAGAAGTTTTGTGGATGCCAGGGTAGAACTAATTATATTTTAGTTCCTTTGCTATCCTCCATCTCCATATGTCCCATTTGATAAGTGCAAGCCAAAAGGTCAAAAGAAAGGAAGCCACGGGAAGTCTATTTGGTCCAATGTATCATCTGTCTGGTAATTATTTGCTGTCCTTTTGAATTCATTTGTCTTTTTCAGATTGTGGGGCATTTGCCTGGTAATACTAACAATAATCAATAATATCAGTCAGGGATAAAGACACAGATAAATTGCATGGAAAAAGGATGGTGGGGGGATCCATTTCTGGCTGTGTATTTCGCTGCCTTGTTGGCCCTATCATTCTCTAGAGATACAGCATCAGGGCCAGGTGTGGTGGCTCACGCCTGTAATCTCAGCATTTTGGGAGGCTGAGGTGGGCAGATCACAGGATCAGGAAATCAAGATCATCCTGGCAAACATGGTGAAACCCGTCTCTACTAAAAATACAAAAATTAGCCGAGTGTGGTGGCATGTGCCTGTAATCCCAGCTACTCGGGAGGCTGAGGCAGGAGAATCGCTTGAACCCAGGAGGTGGAGGTTGCAGTGAGCCAAGATCGTGCCACTGCACTCCAGCCTGGGCAACAGAGCGAGACTCCATCTCAAAAAAAAAGAAAAAAAAGATATAGCATCAGTCTCCTTAGTATGGGCTAAACAATGAGCAACAGCAATTTTTCTTGGGAGGTGAATAGCCTGTAGTAGGGCAAGAATTATATGCCCATTGGTAACAGGAGTACCAGTAGCGTTTAAGAATTCTCAGGATTGGTCATGAATGGTGGCTCATGCCTGTAATCCCAGTACATTGGGAGGCTGAGGCAGGAGGATTGCTCTAGGCCAGAAGTTCAAGACCAGCCTGGGCAACATACTGAGACCCCCATCTCTCCAAAAAAAGAATTCTCAGGATTTCCAGATTGCACCAATGGTCAGCAGACTCCAACTGGAGTTGGTATAAATAGTGGCAGTTTTCCCTTCTGCCAATGCGCAAGCTCTAATAAGAGCTATAAATTCCCCAGCCTGGGGTTTACTCTACTGTGGGCAAACAGGACCTCAAGTGTTTCCTGTGGGGAAACTATGACATAGCAGTTATTGTGTTCCCCCAGAAACCTCGTTTATGGGAGCCATCACAAAATAGGAGTGAGTCTGTGTTGTCTAAAGGGTGCACAACAGGTCTCATGACCTTGAGACCATTTCTATCATTGGAAGGCAATCATGTGGAATGGAGTAGGGTTCTCCATCATCAGGGAGGGCTAATAGAGTAGCCAGATTGTTTTTGTTTTTGTTTTTGTTTTGAGACAGTCTCACTCTGTTGCCCAGACTGGAGTACAATGATGCAATCTCAGCTCACTGCAACCTCTGCCTCTGGGCTCAAGCAATCCTCCCACCTCTGCCTCCTAAGTAGCTGGGACCACAGGCATGTGTCGCCATGCCCAGCTAATTTTTGTATTTTGTGTAGAGACAGGGTTTTGCCATGTTGCCCAGGCTGGTCTCGAACTCCTGGGCTCAAGTGATCCACCCGCCTCAGCCTCCCAAAGTGCTGAGATTACAGGTATGAGCCACCATGCCTAGCCGAGTAGCCAGATTTACAGTGGCACAATGATGTAAGATAATGGAGGGTTTGGTTAATAGGACCTGTTCATAGGTCTATTGCCATGTGGAGAGGTACTATGTCTTATGAACTTGGAAGATGGACAGCATGGGGAACATAACAGAAAATGGATAAGCCTAACATGAGTGCTGGCTTTGTCAGTTACAGAGTCAGCTGCAGCCATCACATGCAGGCATGAGGGCAGGCCTGCTGCCACAGGATTCAATTGGCATGAGAAATATAGGATATATCTGAGAGGCAAAAGGTTGCATAGAATACCTCCAGCAATTCCATTATTTTCATGGTAATAGAAGTGAAAAGATTAGTCAAAATTCAGTAAGCCAACATCAGAGGTATGGGAAATGCTAATTTTAAGGCTACAAAGGAGGTTAGTGCCTCTCAGGGCCAGAAAATGGGTGCTGGGATGGTGTCTTCAAGGAGGGCATACAGAGGTTTGGCAAGGGCAGCAAAATTAGAAATCCATTGGTGACAATAGCCAGCTGTCACTGGAAATTTTTGTAGTTTTTGTTTGTTTGTTTTTTGAGACGGAGTCTCGTTCTGTCGCCAGGCTGGAGTGCAGTGGTGCAATCTCAGCTCACTGCAAACTCCGCTTCCTGGGTTCAAACGATCCTCCTTCCTCAGCCGCCCGAGTAGCTGAGACTACAGGTGCCCGCCACCACGCCCAGCTAATTTTTTGTATTTTTAGTAGAGAGAGGGTTTCACCATGTTGGCCAGGATGGTCTGGATCTCTTGACCTTGTGATCCGCTGCCTCGGCCTCCCAAAGTGTTGGGATTACAGGCATGAGCCACTGCATCTGGCTTATTTGTTTGTTTTTGAGACAAGGTCTTGCTTTGTCACCAGGCTGGAATGCAGTGGTGCAATCATGGCTCATTGCAGCCTCAACCTCCAGGGCTCAAGCAATCCTCCCACCTTGGCCTTCCAAAGTGCTGGAACTACAGGCATGAAACCACTGCGCCCAGCCGTATAAAGTTGTTTTTTTTTTTGTTTTGGGGAGAGAGATAAACAAAATTGACTTAAGACATTTGGGGGTGAGCTTCTGAATGCCCTGAGATAGCTCATGTCCCAAGTAGGTAATAGTTGTTTGTACCCACTGAGTTTAGATTAGAAGGCTTCATGGCCTTCTTCAGCCAGCACCTTTAGGAGAAGGAGGAAGTCTGTAAGAGCATCCTGCTTAGTATATTTTCTTTTATTTTTCTTTCTTTCTTTTTTTTTTTTTTGAGACAGAGTCACACTCTATCACCCAGGCTGGAGTGCAGTGGCATGATCTTGGCTCAGTGCAACCTCTGCCTTTCAGGTTCAAGCGATTCTCCTGCCTCAGCCTCCTGAGTAGCTGGGACTACAGGGATGTGCCACCATACCCAGCTACTTTTTGTATTTTTAGTAGAGATGGGGTTTTGCCATGTTGGTCAGGCTGGTCTCGAACTCCTGACCTCAGGTGATCTGCCCGCCTCGGCCTCCCAAAGTGCTGGGATTACAGGCATGAGCCACTACGCCTGGCCTGCTTAGTATATTTTCTTTTTCTTTTTCTTTCTTTTTTTTTTTTTTTTTTTTGAGACAGAGTCTCGCTCTATCCAGGCTGGAATGCAGTGGTGCGATCTCAGCTCACTGCAAGCTCCGCTTCCCGGGTTCACGCCATTCTCCTGCCTCAGCCTCCCGAGTAGCTGGGACTATAAGCGCCCGCCACCACACCCAGCTAATTTTTTGTATTTTTAGTAGAGATGGGGTTTCACCGTGTTAGCCAGGATGGTCTCGATCTCCTGACCTCAGGTGATCCACCCGCCTCGGCCTCCCAAAGTGCTGGGATTACAGGCGTGAGCCACCACACCTAGCCTGCTTAGTATATTTTCAAAGTAAAAGATCAACATATTGGCAAGAGTGGAACCTTGGGTCAAGGCTACAGAATCTAAGTCAGCTTTAAGAACTTAGGAAAATATTGAGGGAGACTCACAATGTCTCTGAGATGTGTGAGTCCATGTTAACTGTCTCCCTCTCAGTGTAGTTGTATAACCATACCAGATCAATCTGGTTCAACTTTTATGTAACAAAGTTGTGAGCTGCATACCTGGTTCATCTGGGCACAGTCAGGGTAAGTGACCTTCAACCTGAGGATCCACAGCAACTGAAAAAAAACTCACAACTTTGACTTTGTTACATAAAAGTTGAGCCACAGTGGGCACCGTGGCTCACACCTATAATCCCAGCACTTTGGGAGGCTGAGATGGGAGGATTGCTTGAGCCCAGGAGTTCAAGACCAGCCTGGGCAACATGGCAAAAGCCTATTTCTACAAAAAAATTTTAAAAATTAGCTAGTCATGGTGACACACACATGTAGTCCCAGCTACTTGGGAGGTTAAGGTGGGAGGATCACTTCAGCCTGGAAGGTCAAGGCTGCAGTGAGCTGTGATCACACCATTGTACTCCAGCCTGGTTGACAGAGCAAGACCCCATCACACACACGCGCACACACACACACACACACACACAGAAAAGCTGAGCCAGATTCGGTTGGACACAGTTACAAATCCCCCTTGAAACACCCCACCCCTCATTCTTGAGCGGTTAGGGATGAAGGTCATTCTTCTCTGTCTACTTCATGCTGACAGGGAACAGTGAGGCTACTAAAGTTAGAGGAGTGAAATTCTCAGGCTCCTGAGTTCAAATAAGTTTTTTAGTCATCTGAAGTTGCTCAAAGGAGCTGGTATTGCTGCTGTTACACAAAATGAGGACACAAACTGTACTATCAATTTAAAATACAGGGACCGAAAAGTAACAGAACAGAGGCCACTAGAGGCCACAGCAGAGGAAGAAACGAGGTGAAGTGAGGTACAGCAGACTTCACTGCATTCCAAGATAGCTCGTTGGTTGAGCTACCCTTCTGGTTGAAGGAATGCAGCTGTTCTACTTGTTTAAATATTTCCTTTCTTTTTTTTCTTTCTTTCTTTTTTTTGAGATGAGTCACGCTCTGTCGCCCAGGCTGGAGTGCAGTGGCGGGATCTCGGCTCACTGCAAGCTCCGCCTCCCGGGTTCACACCATTCTCCTGCCTCAGCCTCCCTAGTAGCTGGGACCACAGGCGCCCGCCACCACGCCCGGCTAACTTTTTGTGTTTTTAGTAGAGACGGAGTTTCACTGTGTTAGCCAGGATGGTCTCGATCTCCTGACCTCGTGATCCACCCGCCTCAGCCTCCCAAAGTGCTGGGCTTACAGGCTTGAGCCACCGCACCCGGCCCCTTTCTCTCTTTTTTTTTTTTTTTTTTTTGAGACAGAGTCTCGCTCTGTCACCCAGGCTAGAGTATAGTGGCACGATCTTGGCTCACTGCAACCTCTGTCTCTTGGGTTCAAGCGATCTCCTGTCTCAGCCTCCTGAGTAGCTGGGACTACAGGCGTGCACCACCATGCCCAGCTAATTTTTTTGTATTTTTAGTAGAGACCAGGTTTCACTATGTTGGCCAGGCTGGTCTTGAACTCCTGACCTCAAGTGATCCACCCACCTTGGCCTCCCAAAGTGTTGAATATTTCTTTTACATTAGCCTCTATTTCCTCTGGAGGCATTTACCCAAGTGCAACAGGAGGTATTGGTGCCACACACAGCCCTCCCGTTCTGCTAGTAAATAGTCTAAGGCCAATCGCTTTTCTGACACTACATTGGCTAGTGAATTTAGAGAAATACATATATTTTAGAGAGCCTCTCCAGTTTTAGCTGCCAGAGCCTTGGGTATTCAGATTAAATTTCTTAGGGTGACTTCATAACAGGCAACCCCCCCGCAAGAAAGGGCAGCCAACCCCACAGCAAGTCCGGCAGCTTCCATGGTTTGTCCAATAGCCCCCGTCCTTTTTTTTTTTTTTTTTTGGTCTCTTATGATGGCTGGTTGCACTATGGGCTGTTACCCTGATAGGCCCCAGAAGCCCACAGTACACTGTCCTAGGCATATTACATTGCCGAAACAAGGGTGAGCCACTGCAAATACTCTTTTGTAGCATGTTTGCCTCTTTTCTCCTTTTCCTGAGCAATTTAAATAAACTTGGCCTATTCTCTTAGTGACATTGCCCTTAGCAGGTGAGGTCCACACAACCCTGTGATGTTAATGACTCCTCTCAAAGGATTAGCAACAGGTCACCCCATCCAAGTGTGGGGAAGCCTATGGCACATCCAACATTTGAACAGATTGTTCCCACCAGCTGTGATACAGGAGACCTTGATTATTATATTGGCCTCCCAGAGATCACTGGCCAAGGCAACTAAAAGGGCCAAAAAGCAGGCTGGGTGCGATGGCTCACGCCTGTAATCCTAGCACTTTGGGAGGCTGAGGTGGGCGGATCAAAAGGTCAGGAGTTCGAGACCAGCCTGGCCAGCACGGTGAAACCCCGTCTCTACTAAAAATAAAAAAATTAGCTGGGCATGGTGGCGCACATCTGTAGACCCAGCTACTTGGGAGACTGAGGCAGGAGAATCACTTGAACCTGGGAGGCAGAGGTTGTAGTGAGCCGAGATTGCGCCACTGCACTCCAGCCTGGGCGACAAGAGTGAGACTCAATCTCAAAAAAAAAAAAAAAAAAAAAAAGGCCAAAAAGCATAGGGGCCATTTTTAGGTGTTTTATGAAGGGATTTGCCACCACCTAAGCATCTCCACAGTGTAAAAGGGCAACAGCATGAGGGTTCCTGCAGGGATAAAGAAGATGCCTACTATGGCAAGAGAATGGCAAGGGGCACACTTGACTTATCTGAGCCTTTTCTTCTAAAAACCAATTTGAGGTCTGAGATGGGTTCACAAATGTATGCTGGGGAGGCATCTTCTGGGGGCTCCTGGGCTTTCACTCTTTTTTTTTTTTTTTTTGAGACAGAGTCTCTCTATGTCACTCAGGCTGGAGTGCAGGGGTTCAATCATAGCTCACTGCAGCCTCAAACGCCTAAGCTCATGGGATCTTCCCGCCCCAGCCTCCGTGCACCACCAATTAGCGGTGCCTGGCTAATTCTTTTACTTTTTGTAGAGACAAGGTCTCACCATGTTGCCCAGGCTGGTCTTAAATTCCTGGCCTCAAGTGATCCTCCCCCATCTGCCTCCCAAAGTGCTGGGATTACAGGCGTGAGCCACCATGCCTGGCCTCTTCACTCTTGAGTGATGGATCCAAGGGGTTACTTCTTGGAGTTTAAGAGAAGAATGAGTGGTTAAAAGTGTTAGGTTGGGCCCCATCCATAGCGGGCTGAGCTGGTCCTGGGAGTACTCAGCCTTCTGGGTCCTGAGGTATACCCAGTCTCCTGGGTTGTACAGATGAAGTTTTACCCCAGAGGGGACCAGGAGGCTGGGGTTGCTGAGGTGGTTGAGAATAGCAACAAATGACTCCAGATGAATAACATAATATGCTTCATCACCCTTTCTATCTCCTCATCTGGGCAAGAGAAGGGGCTGGCCACGCCTGGATAAGGCCTTACATATTAACATTTCTTTTTTTTTTTGGAGACTGGGTCTGTTGTCCAGGCTGGAGTGCAGTGGCGTCATCACAGCTCACTGCAGCCTTGACCTCCCTGAATTCAAGCAGTGTTCCTCCTTCAGCCTCTCAAGTAGCTGAGATTACAGGTGCGCACCACCACGCCTGGTTTTTATTATTATTTTTTAAATAGGGAGGAAGTCTCACTATGTTGCTCAGGCTGGTCTCGAACTCCTGGGCTTAAGTGATCCTCTTCACGGGTGGGCCTCTCAAAGTGCTGGGAATACAGGTGTGAGTCACCACGCCCGGCCCCATATAATCTTACCTTCCCTCCCCTCGCCTTCCCTCCCCTCCCCTTCCCTTCCCTTTCCTTTCTTTCTTTTTTCCTTTTTTGAGACAGAGTCTTGTTCTGTTGCCCAGGCTGGTCTCGATCTCCTGGGCTTAAGTGATCCTCTTCACCAGTGGGCCTCTCAAAGTGCTGGGAATACAGGTGTGAGTCACCATACCCGGCCCCATATAATATTTCTTTCTCTTTTTTTTTTTTGAGACAGAGTCTTGCTCTGTCGCCCAGGCTGGAGTGCAGTGGCGTGATCTCGGCTCACTGCAACCCCTGCCTCCCAGGTTCAAGCGATTCTCATGCTTTAGCCTGCTGAGTAGCTGGGATTACAGGCACATGCTGCCACACCCGGCTAATTTTTTGTATTTTTAGTAGACATGGTGTTTCACCATGTGGCCAGGCTGGTCTCAAACTCCTGACCTCAAGTGATCCACCTGCCTCAGCCACCCAAAGTGCTGGGATTACAGGCATGAGCCACTGTGCCCAGCCCCATATAGCATTTCAAAGGAGCTAAGTCTCATTCTTTCTCTGAGTGCTACCCATACTTGGACCAAGGCTATGGGTAACAGCTTTAACCAATTATCTTGGGCCTCCTGGCATAACTTGGCTAGGATACCTTTGAGAGTTCTATGGGACCTTTCAGTCTTTCCCAAGGAGTTTGGTCTCCAGGCTACATGCCACTTCCACTGTATGACCAAGGCCTGGGAAGTTTTTACTACTATGTTAGAAATGAATGCGGGTCCATTAGCACTCTGGACTGACTTAGGGAGACTGAATGGAGGGATAAATTCCTTTAGTAAAGACTTCATGGCTTCTGCCTTTTCAGTCCAGCATGGAAAAGCCTCTATCCAACCAGCAAAGGCATCAGAAAAGCACCAGGAGATATTTAAATCCTCTAGAAGACATAGGCATAACACTGGAGTCAATTTGCTAGTCCTCCCCTCACATGGTTCCCCTGAATTGTACCACCTTGGCCAAGGGAGATATGGGAGGTCTGTTTTGAGCATTGTTTCTCTGACAATAGACACATTGGTCAGCCACTTTATCCATCATTTTCTTTGCTTTTGGGGTCCTTATTATCCTGAGGAGCTAGGTGTGCATAGTCTTCTTGCCATAGATTGA